>NT_187523.1:0-161578 GCF_000001405.40 Homo sapiens
GAATTCTTCCCAAAGTCAGCTCTCTCACGCCACTACCTGGAATGCCTGGTTGAGAAGGTAAAAGGTTTTCTTGTCCCTTTTTAAATTTGGATCGAAAGGAGAACATTGTAAGAAGTGGTTCTTTAAATGGTGACTCTTGTGAATTTGGTGCTGGGTGCCCGTTGCTTTTTGGCCACAGCTTCCCAGAAATAGCCGCTGTTTTCTTTGTCTCTGCCTTTTGTGGGGTTTGCCCTAAGGCCTGTTTTCTGTCTTGAGAACTTGGTCATAACCAGTGAGGATGCTGTCTCCGGTCTCTGCCCACTGGGAGATCCGAGTTGCTAGGCATGCTTCTGATGGCGGTCACCGGCCAGGACCGAAACATGAAGTGTCTCTGTTCGACCACATCTGCTCTCAGGAACTTACCTTAACCGCCTCACCATGGTTACCTTGTTACCAGTGAGCATCTTTACTTCCTTAGCCTATCTTCAAGAGAAATTTTGGATCCTGAAGGGGGCTACATCCTTTGCATCCTTTCTGGGGACCTCTTGCATCCATGGTTAAGCCATACAGGGCTTACTAGTTTTGAATCACAGCGGAAGTAGGTTTACTTTTGGTTTGGAAGTTGGTTAATATTTGGAGCATTATAGGAACTTTTTGTTTGTTTGATCTTCTGTCCTAAGCTAAAATGGAACTAGAAGGGAGGAAAGAAAGACTTCAATACCACCGGGAATGTTTACTGTTGTCCTGGTTAAAAGCTGATAATAAGATATTTGAAAAGGGACTTTCTTTAGAGCTCCCTGATGAGAAGTCAGGCTAACTGGAAGCTGATGCTCAGGCTATAACTCGTGGTGGCTCTGTGTTTTCTCTGCCAGACTCTGCTTCTCCCCCTGGGAACTTCTCAGCCAGCCGAGCCATCCTTTCCCAGCACTGCTGACTGTGTGCTGTGCACATTTTTTGATTGGCGTGATTCTTGACTGTTTACAAATGGAGCAAATAAAAGATCTTTAAGGTCTTTCCTACTTAGTAAGAGGCATTGTTTAAATTGACTTAGAAATAAATGAGCATACCTACAACTGTAAAAAAAAAAAATAGGAACTAACCCAAATGTTTTTAAAGTTCACTTGACCTGGGGTAAACTTTGGTGAATAAAGGTGAGTTTAGATTTGCCGGTTTGATAAAAGCAGGTGTCTTCAGAGTCCTCAGCGTTAAAGATGATGCAGACACGCAACTTTCATCTCTGCTAAATGTTTAATTGTAAAGCATGAGTCTGACCTAAAAACAAGTGTGCCCGCAGAAGTGAGGCGGCACGCCCGTTACTCCTCACGCAGGAAGCGCAGCAATGAAACAAAACGCCGTGCGTTTAACGCTTCGGTTTCTTGATTTTGAGATGACCGCCTGACAGTCACATGCTGTAAAAATGGTTAATAGGAAAACACCTCAAGATGATGGATGCTTAATATCTCAGGAAGTTTCTCAGGAGTAACACAGACAAGTTAAAATACTAAAACATTAATCGCTGAACATAAGTGTAAGCTTATTCCTGGCTTCGAAAGTTCTGTGGAAAGATAAAATTTGTTTGGGTCTATTAGAAAACATTGTGTCTTGTTCTACATTGAGAAATTGTTCTATGAGGAAGCACGTTTCTGAAAAATTATAAAATATGTATTCATAAAATGTTATCATATAACAGTTCAAAATTGCTTACTTCCTAGGTTCCACTAAAAATTAAGGGCACTAAGATTTAAAAATTCTAATTAATGTGTGTAACTCTATATACAAAGTATGAAAAATAATGATACAATTTTTGGTATTTTTGGTAAAAAAATTACAAAAGACATGAGGGTTTTTTTTAGAAGAAGAATAATTTTGTCTAATTTGGAGGTTATTTAAAGGTTGCTTGAAAATGCAAATTTTGAAAGGAAATAGAAACAAGGCAGAAAGGAACCAGTAAATGGGACAAAAAATAAGCAAAGAAAGTTATATCTTTGGTAGGGAAAGTTGAAAAGAAAAAGAGAATAAAACTTTTTTTTATATGAGAAAATCTTGTGTGGCCAAAATTATAAGGGAAAAAAGAGTAAATTTTTATCCTAAGTTAGAATGATTGGTTGTTCCAGTATAAAAAAGAGGAAGTATAGAACGAAACTGAAGGTTTGAACAAATTCTAGAAGGTTTGAGAAAATTGCAAAAGGTTTATGGAAGATGAATTTTATGAAATACATTTTGTATGTGATCAAGTTGACTAAAAATAGAAGGAAATAATTTATAAGTCTTTCTAAAATAGAACATTAAGATCTAGGCTGGGCGTGGTGGCTCATGCCTGTAATCCCAGCACTTTGGGAGGCTGAAGAGGGCAGATCACTTGAGGTCAGGAGTTCAAGACCAGCCTGGCCAACATGGTGAAACTCCTTCTCTACTAAACATACAAAAATTAGCTGGGTGTAGTGGCGCATGCCTGTAGTCCCAGCTACTAGGGAGGCTGAGGCAGGAGAATCGCTTGAACCTGGGAGGCGGAGGTTGCAGTGAGCTGAGATTGCGCCACTGCACTCAAGCCTGGGCAACAGAGTGAGACTCTGTCTCAAAAAAAAAAAAAAGAAGAAGAAAAAAGATCTAAAGTTTGCCGACATGAAACTAGAATTTGGTCCTCTCTGTTAATACGACAAGATTTTCTTGTAGTATTGATCTACCCCTGATTAAAAAATAATCAGGGTGTTCCTTGCCTTTTTGGTAACTGTCGCAGGTGAGTGGTGACCCTCTGGGGCTGGTGGTGTGGTGAGAAGAATTTACCAAGACAGTTGCAGATAAAGAAAAGCAGATTTATTGAAGAAAGCATGAAAATACATTGCGAGAGTGCAATGGGCAAGTTAGCAGAGAGGAGCTGACTGCAAGGAGGCGAAGGCTTGGTGAGGGTTTTATAAGACAGTCTCTGTGCTGTGAGCTGAAGAGGGCTTTGACAGTGCTGATAACGCCAAGGTTGCCGTGAGCTAACTTGTAATTTTCCCATCAGTCAAGGATCTGGTGATAGCTGGAAGACTGAGTTATTTGTGCAGGAGGGTTATGTGTTCTGGACCATGAGAAAGGCAGACTTAAGGCTTATGTGCCTTCTCTTTTTGCTTCCTTCAGTCCCGCCAGCCCCACTCCCCCTCCGTAATGAGGCCTCCACAGTAACTGGCCTAGAAAAATTTATCAAGATAATGTCGTGTACTTTGCGCTGTCTTTATTAGGTTTTTGATTGCTTGGAAAAATTCTTCCTTTAAAGAGGTAGGGTTTTTTTTTTTTTTGTCTGTGTAACTTTATTTGCTTTTAAAGTATTTTAATTATCACTATAGTTAAATGGATGACTATTATTTCACAGTGACCTATTATCCTGTTTTAATTAAGTGTTTTAAACCTTTGACATTTTTGACAAGCTTTCCCAAGATCAAATTCTAAATTAAATCTTTTTATTCTTACCTTGTAAAAGAGATATATTAATTAAGTTTATTTGACATGCTAAATTATTAAATATGTGGGAAGCATTGTAAACAAGAAATGATGTTTAACCTTTTTTTTTTTTTTTTTTTTTTTCTGAGACGGAGTCTGGCTCTGTCACCCAGGCTGGAGTGCAGTGGCGCGATCTTGGCTCAGGGCAAGCTCCACCTCCCGGGTTCACGCCATTCTCCTGCCTCAGCCTCTCGAGTAGCTGGGACTACAGGTGCCCACCACCACACCCAGCTAATTTTTTTGTATTTTTAGTAGAGACGGGGTTTCACCTTGTTAGCCAGGATGGTCTCGATCTCCTGACCCCATGATCGGCTTGCCTCGGCCTCCCAAAGTGCTGGGATTACAGGAGTGAGCCACTGCGCCCGGCCTTAACCATTCTTTAAGTTATATTTGTATGGATACAGTATTAGTGTATTCCAAAATTTGTATAAAATTCTTAAATATCTGATATATCTTGGTATAATGTTATCAGTAGTAGTTCTAATTATTGTGTTAAAATGTTCTATGCTATGGAAATAACCAAAGTTCCTTGTCAATTTCTCATTATAATGAACTCTCATCAGACTTTTAACCATGACCCGTCTATGTTTTTGTCATCCATGTAAAGATCCAAATCCAAATTATTGTTTTGATGTTTCTCTAAAAGCTTTTGCAATCAACTACAGTCCAAATTGCTTCTAATGAAATGACTTTGGCAGTCCTCTTGAACTCTGATTGCTGATACCTTTAAGATCATACCGTTGGAGAAAGTAGATATTTTTGGGACTCTGTTGAAGAAACTGATGGGTTCATAAATCTGCTAACCTAGATCAAGCAGAATGAGAATTAATTACATGGGACTGAATGAATTGACGAAAAGGAATGATGGGTTTTTACAGTTTTAATTTAAAATATTTTTGGTTCTCTATTTTAATGTTTTGTTTTCCAGGTTTAAGGAAAATAGTTTTCTTAAGCTATCTATAATTTACACCAATTTGGTAAAGTATAACTTTGTGAACAAAAATTGAAACATAGGCTTCTTTCCCTACCTTATCTCTCCAAAATTTGTGAACTATTTGTGAGTATGATTATGTTTTTGGCAATACAGTCATTTGTGTAAGTTCAATAAGAGCCTGTTCTCTTCACAGCAGCATACAATGGAAAATATTGGTTATATTACCAGGTTTTGACTGGAATGCCAGGCTTAACGTTGCTCAGAAGTTGCTTCTATGAGGACGTCTCCCAGCAGCTGTCAGTGTTTCCAATGAGTCATCGCCAGCCCCTGCAATGAGCCTCTCAGGCTGGTAAGTTTTGTTTCAGAACCGCTTCCTCAAGCTTCTTTTGCCTTTAAAAGCTTCCTCTTGCCCCAGCCTCCCAGGGAATGCCTGTGGTCTGTCATGGCTCACACATCCTGGTTGATAATCCACTGCTGTTCTCCACGGAATGCCTTCATTTTGAGAGCTGCTCGCTGCCTGTTGTGGTTTCAGTTGACGGCCCACCGCTGTGTGCAGAGTTCACCAGCCGCTGTGGTGTGCAGTGCAGCAGCTGACCTGCCTGCCTTGTGGTTTTCTAATCCCATTGAGGGGACGTCTTAGGTGTTCTCACCAAGAATGCACAGCAACAGTGCTG
This sequence comes from Homo sapiens, assembly GCF_000001405.40. Taxonomy (NCBI): domain Eukaryota; kingdom Metazoa; phylum Chordata; class Mammalia; order Primates; family Hominidae; genus Homo; species Homo sapiens. Next base: position 5,068 of record NT_187523.1, read on the forward strand.
GGTGGGCCACATCCTCCCTCACGTTTGGTGCCACCAGTTTTATAGATTTTGGCTACTGTGGGTGTGTGTGGTGGTTTTTGTTGGTGTTTACGACGCATCTTCCTGGTGCTCGAGTCTGTCGAGCACTTTTTCTTGTGTTTATTTGCCATCATTTGGCGAAGTGTTCAAATCCTTTGACCGTTGTTTCACCAAGTTGTTTTATTATGAAATTTTAGGGGTTACTTATTCTGGATCTCAGCACTTGGATAAATATTTGAGAATATTTTTTGCAGTAAGTGACATCGTTTTATGTGGATGAACAGAAGATTTTAATTTTGATAAAGTCTAATGGATATATGTGATGTTAGTGTAATTTGAATGCATACATATGTATATTTAATGCATTCTTTTATGATGATTGTGCACTTCATATGAAATGCGGCAACCTTGCCTTGCCATCCCGGAGGCCTCTGCTTCTCTGATCTGTGGGTGTCACAGGCACTTCACTTACTCACACCTTATGGCACGGTTTCTTTTGCTCTAAGCCTGCACGTGTGTTTTAAAGGTAATTTCTTCCGTTAGAGAAGTCGCGTAGGCTCACCCTGCTATTTGCCATTTCTGGAGCTCTTTATCTCCTTCTTCATATCTGCATTTCCCTCTGGAATCATTTCCATTCAGCCTGAAGAACTCTTCTGCCTGGGACTCCACCTTCTTTTCTAGCAGCTGGGCTCATTGGGAGCTCTGTCCTCTGGTGGCTCTGGCCAGGGGACGCTGGGTTTTCTCTTAGGGTTTCAGTTGGCCCGTGTGGTGCCAATGTCAACGTGTCTGTAGGCCAGAGCCAGCAATGAGCACCCCCTCGGTCTGGCCCTGAGCTCCAAGGCCCCACTCCCACGGGATCTTGCTGCCAGGACCCCACTCTCTGCATCTTGTCCAGAGTGTCGAGGAGGGCAGGGTCCAGCGGGATCTCTCGGCCCTCCCAGGGCTGAGTCTGTGCTCTGACCTTTCCTGGGAGGCACTCAGGGCCAACAGAGCAACAAGGGGCCTTTCCCTGTGGCTCCCTCCCCTCTGGAGAAAATGGGTCAGACCTGGGTTTCTCCATAGTCACTGTCCCTAAAATGAAGCCGGGCTGCCAGAGGCGGTTGCATCTCCCGGCACCAAGACCCCAGAGTCCCTGTGAGAAAGAGGACCAACGACGATGGAAGCCTTTCTCTAATGTGCGCACAGCCAGGCCGCTCCTCTGAAGGCGCTGAGCCGCCTCTAATCACAGCGCCACACTGGCCACAGGTCGCTGGGTATAGGATGAACCCAGCTGTGAATAGGATGCATTTCCTGGGAGGTTTCTGTGAAGTTACTGAACTGCCAAAAGGTAAGCAGTTTTAATTGATTTGTGAGTCTTCAATTAAGCACAGCAGAATGCTAATTAAATATTCTCTGTTCTTTAAATAGAGAATGCTTTAAATAATTCAGCACAATCTTTGCATAAATCACACCATTCAGCTGAGGTGCCTGTCAGCAGTCAAGTGATTGAGAGCACAAACTGTCCCAAAGACACAGCCCCCTTCCCCCTGGAGACGCGCACAGCCTGCAGAAGAGATGTCACCTGATGCAGCGTTGTGGTTTAAAAACTCATTATGGGAAGCATGAGGCTGGACCCAGGGGACCCTGGAGGTGATGCAGGGGCTTTGGCAGCCTGGAAGCTGTTGGAGGAGGGGCCCTTGGTGGAAGTGGGGACAGTTTGAGCCTCCGGCCTCCAATTCCCTCCCGCTGGCTTCTGGGCCGCACCTCCAGGAATCCAGCTAGACCCGCAGGGCTCTGACTCCAGACTTTATTAAATGTTTCCTCTAACGGTTCTGGCCATTCTGCTGGGCCATTAAAGGCTACCCCAGGGCCTCAGATATGAGCGTGGTGTCTGTATGTGGTCCTTTCATGGAGGGCAGGAAGCATCATAATTACTTTTTTTTTTAACGGTTTTCAATTTGTGTTGACAAAGAGCCTTAGTGAATCTGTTGGAAGAAGAGTGACTTCAAAATGAACCTGACTCCCTGTATGTTAGGAGTCCATATTCTCTGATACAGTTAACGTTTTCCTTCCAACCTCTTCACTGTTCAAGCAAAGTGGTATTTTAGCTATTCACTGTTTGACACTTTAATAGGAGTTTTGATGAGCAATTTCAGGATGTGGAATTGCTACACTGCACCAGGTTCCTGCAGGAGCAGCAGCCTCAGCCTGTGGATGGGACGTGAGATCTTGGTGTTTCTCCTGGAGGAAACGCTGTGCTGCTGTGTTGATGACGGGGCGTGTGTGGGGTTGATGATGGGTGATGGAGTGTGGGGTTGGTGACAGGTGACGGAGTGTGGGGTTGACGACGGGTGATGGAGTGTGGGGATGATGATGGGTGATGGAGTGTGGGGATGATGACGGGTGATGGAGTGTGGGGATGATGATGGGTGATGGAGTGTGGGGATGATGATGGGTGATGGAGTGTGGGGATGATGACGGGTGATGGAGTGTGGGGATGATGATGGGTGATGGAGTGTGGGGATGGTGATGGAGTGTGGGGATGGTGATGGAGTGTGGGGATGATGATGGGTGATGGAGTGTGGGGATGATGATGGAGTGTGGGGATGATGACGGGTGATGGAGTGTGGGGATGATGATGGGTGATGGAGTGTGGGGATGGTGATGGAGTGTGGGGATGGTGATGGAGTGTGGGGATGATGATGGGTGATGGAGTGTGGGGATGATGATGGAGTGTGGGGATGATGACGGGTGATGGAGTGTGGGGTTGACGACGGGGCGTGGGGTTGATGATGGAGTGTGGGGATGATGATGGGTATGGAGTGTGGGGATGATGATGGGTATGGAGTGTGGGGTTGATGACGGGTGATAGAGGAGTGTGGGGATGTGATGGGTGATGGAGTGTGGGGATGATGATGGAATGTGGGATTGATGACGGATGATGGAGTGTGGGGATGATGATGGGTGATGGAGTGTGGGGATGATGATGGAGTGTGGGGTTGATGATGGGTGATGGAGTGTGGGGTTGATGATGGGTGATGGAGTGTGGGGATGATGTTGGGTGATGAAGTGCGGGGATGATGATGGAGTGTGGTGATGATGACAGGTGACGGAGTCTGGGGTTGATGACGGGGCGTGGGGTTGATGATGGAGTGTGGGGATGATGATGGGTATGGAGTGTGGGGATGATGATGGATATGGAGTGTGGGGTTGATGACGGGTGATACAGTGTGGGGATGTGATGGGTGATGGAGTGTGGGGATGATGATGGGTATGGAGTGTGGGATTGATGACGGGTGATGGAGTGTGGGGATGATGATGGGTAATGAAGTGTGGGGATGATGATGGAGTGTGGTGATGATGACAGGTGACGGAGTGTGGGGTTGATGACGGGGCGTGGGGTTGATGATGGAGTGTGGGGATGATGACGGGTGACCGAGTGTGGGGTTGATGACGGGGCGTGGGGTTGATGATGGGGTGTGGGGATGATGACGGGGCATGGGGTTGATGACGGGGCGTGGGGCTGTTGATGGGGTTTGGGGTTGATGACGGGGTGTGTGGTTGATGACGGGGTATGGGGTTGATGATGGGGCGTAGGGTTGATGATGGGGTGTGGGGTTGATGATGGGGCATGGGGTTGATGACGGGGCCTGGGGTTGATGACGGGGTGTGGGGTTGATGACGTGGTGTGGGGTTGATGACGGAGTATGGGGTTGATGATGGGGTGTGGAGTTGATGACGGGGTGTGGGGTTGATGACGGGGCATGTGTGGGGTCGATGATGGGGTGTGGGGTTGATGATGGGGTGTGGGGTTGATGAAGGGGCGTGGGGTTTATGACGGAGCTTGGGGCTGATGATGGGGTGTGGGGCTGATGATGGGGTGTGGGGCTGATGATGGGGCATGGGGTTTATGATGGGGTGTGGGATTAATGACGGAGTGTGGCGTTGATGATGAGGCGTGGGGTTTATGACAGAGCGTGGGGTCAATGACAGGGTGTGGGGTTGATGACGGGGTGTGGGGTTGATGACGGGGCATGGGGTTTATGACAGCTTGTGTCAGACGAAGCCACATCAACTCATTCTGAGCACCCCTTTCCTCAAAACATAAGGATGAGCATGACCAAAATCTCAAGACATTTTTCCTAAGTCCTTAAGACGGATGAACTTCTACAGGTAAGTAGGTAGATTAATAAACAGAGGTAAGGAATGTTGGCATGAAGAAGCTCCCTAGGCTGCTGTGTGGCTGAAGCTCTGACTGGTCATGCTGGTTAAGGATGCGTCTGAGCAAGATCGGTCGCTGACAGGTAGGTGTGTAGAAAATAACCTATATGTGGTGGTCCATTTTCAGTTCTAAGTGCCTTCATATAGGTTTAAGCAGGCTATGTGGAAATAGAGAAATAAAGAAGCAGAAATGTACTGAGTCACCACCCTGCCCTCCTTCCTGCTTTCCCTTTCACCCAGCGGCCACGTGCCTATCAGTAGGAGCCCCCTCAACTACCCTCTCCTCACCCCACCAAAGAATTTAGTTTAGGCTAGCTTGCAACATAAATAATTATACCCTTTCTTATCAGCTACGTGCAGCCACCAGGGCCATAGTCAAATGTTTGAAGAGTCCTGAGACAGTTGCAATGCATGGTGGGCTGCAATAAAATGCAGCAGAAAGATCCTAAAGAACAGACTTGAAATCTTAATCCAACGACCAATAGGTGATGTCCAGGAAGATCGTAACCCCATTTACTCAGTCAATGAGGAACTGGGGGAGGGACCTGCGCACTAGGGGATAAATTGCTTGTTGAAACTCTGCTGGGGGTGGCTGCATGCCAGCCAGACACCCAGTCTTGCAAGACTGTCATTGAAAATCTCCGTTTTGCTGTTCTCCGGGTCTCTGCGTCCAGTCTTTGTGTTTGGACGGGTGAGTTTGTTTCTCACAGGTGCGACTCTGTCTCTATTTGCATCAGGTTCAGTTTCTTCCTGGTTGACCTTGTGGGTGTGAATGTTGTCACAGACCTGCCGGGCCATCTTTCTGCAAGAAGATAAAGGAAGACCAGGAGTGCCTGCCGAACTCCTATGGAGGAAGTCTAGGAGAGGAAGGGGTAGGACCAAGGGCACTGCTGTGGGCTGAAGGTTTGCGTCCCCCCAAATCCTTACGTTGAAATCCTAAACCCCAGTGGGATGGTGTTTGGAGATGGGACCTTTGGGACGTGATTAGGTCATGGGGTGGAGCCCCATGAGGGGATTAGTGCCCTTGTAAGAAGAAACACCAGAACCAGCCTCTTCTCTCTCTACTCACCACCCTTCCTCTCTGCTAAGGACAGGGAGGAAGATGGTGTCTGCAAACCAGGAAGCAGCCTTGCCAGACACAGGATTGGCCACAACCTTGACCCCAGACTTCCAGCCTCCAGAACTGTGAGAAATAAATGTCCATATTGACTAGGGGCACAGGGCATGGGGGAACTGGTTCCAGACCTGCCTCCTGGGAAGTTGGGAGGGGGCATTTCAACCTGTTAATTTCTCAAATTATGTAGTCATTCAAAAAGAAATAGAAACACTTCATTAACTTTGTGATTGCCAAATTATTGATCAATTCTCATAGAAAGTTATAACATTTCCCCTTTTGGTACATTTCTGTTAAAAAGAAGGTTGTCTTTCCAGCCTTATGTTTTGTAGTTTAATTTGCTCACATTCATTATAATCCATTATTTAATACATTTTTCTTCCATTTGATCATATTACTTGCTGATAGGAAGGACTGAGTTCATTTTCAGCGTGTCTGGCTTTTCCATTTCTGTGGCCTGGGAAGGTGGGTGGCTACATCATCATCCATGGTCTCTGAAATATCCTGTGTTACCAAGGCCTGCTTGTTCCACCAAACTGCTCCATAGGCAGTTGTGACACCCAGAAAGATGCTGATATGGTTTGGCTGTGTCCCCACCCAAATCTCATCTTGAATTGTAGTTCCCATAATCCCCAGGTGTCTGGGAGGGGCCCAGTGGGAGGTAATTGAGACATGGGGGCGGGTTTTCCCATGCTGTTCTTGTGATAGTGAATAAGTCCCAAGAGATTCTGATGGTTTTATAAACAGGAATTTCCCTGCACAGGCTCTCTTGCCTGCCACCATGTAAGACCTGCCTCTGCTCCTCCTTCACCTTCCGCCATGATTGTGAGGCCACCCCAGCCATGTGGAACTGTGAGTCCATTAAACCTCTTTTTCTTTATAAATTACTCAGTCTCAGGTATTTCTTCATAGCATTATGAAAATGGACTAATACAGATGCAGCTAGCATGAGGGAACTGTCCTTGCCAACTTGGAGTTGTTCTCAGAAACTGCAGTAACTCAATACTGGGAACAGAAATGCACTACCCTGAGGTCAGGGATTTTAGGATACAGTCCCGAAGCTTCTGTTGCCTTCAATGCCTTCACTGACATGGGATTTAGGGATTCAGAGTCCTGAAGCTTCTGTTGCCCGGGTAAGCCCTCAGTGCCTTCACTGACGTGCACAGAGCTGCTCTTTCTGTGAATGGATGCTATCCCAACCAGGAGGCCTGGAAACTGCGGCTTTGCGATTTTGAATTTATGGAAGGAGTCCTTGGTGACCCTCACAATCTGGAGGCCGAGAGTCCAAGGTCAAGCAGCTGGTTCCTCTGGAGGCTCCATGGAAGAAGCCCTTCCATGCTGGTTTTCTTCCTCTGGTGTTCCTGGCAACCCTTGGTGTTCCTTGCCTGGTGAATGAATCACCCACCTTTGCCTCCATCTGTCCATGGTGTTATCCCTGTGTCTCTGCCCAAATCTCTCTCTCCTTATGAGGACACCGAATGGATGAGCTCATTTCAACTTGATCACATGTGCAAAGACCCTATTTCCAAATGAGGTCACATTTTCAGGTGTGAGGGTTAGAACTTCAACTATCTTTTTGGGGGACACAGCACCATCCACAGCCGTGAGGACATTGGACAAAGCCCAACTTGGACCTGACTCGGGTCAGGGGGGAGGGGCACAGGGAGATTTGCCTTTTTCCTGTTTTGCCATTTTCCACGTAACTCGTATTTGCTACTTTAGAGGAACCATTTATGGAAAACTACAGGATAAAGGATAAACAAATGGTGGAGGAAAGGAAATCTGTTAGCAATCAGAGAGATTGTTAATTTCCTTGATGAGGAGCCAATTGGTTGAAGGGTGCCTGTAATTTACAACTTCAGTCTTGGGAAAAATGTGCACAGTTATTTTTTGGTCTCCATGAAGGAAACGTTTAGACGGGCACTCATGGGGCTGATTACCGATTCAGAGGAACATGCAGGGGGCATCCACCCTCCAGGCGTGGGAAGAGAGAAGCACATGCTTCCGGGAGGCCAAGGCTGAGCCGGGCTTAGGAGTGTCCTCTCCAGGTACTAAGTTAATTTTATGGGAGCTGAAGCCTCGCTGCTTCTCGGAGCCTGGGGAGTTGGGAGCACTGGCCCTGGGCTCTGTGTGGCCTGGAACTGCGACTGCAGCTTGGAATTCTTGGGCTCAGCTATGGCGGCCTGTGCCCTTCTCCAGGCATGGTTTGGGCCGTGTCCCTGGAACAGCAGCTGAGGTCCTGGTGCCAGCCCCATCACAGACGGCAGGGGACCTGAGATAGACATGGCCCCCTCTGCCCAGGCCCCCTTGCTGGAAAGGCAGAGGCACATCTTACCTCCGGGGACCCCACTCTCACCTCGGAGGATGTTTTAGGCCATGCTGTGTGTTGCCATCTTTGGGAAGAACTAGTTTAACGAAGGAGTCATGAATTTGGCGAGGGGCCGCCTCTGCTGACGGTGTTTCCTGAGTCCCTGCCCTTCACTGGGGCACGAGGGCACATGTGCCTCCGTTGCGCACCTGGGTGGGTGGGGCTGGCCGTGACCAGCGGTTCCAGGTGACGCTGCCCTGGGAGAGCTCCTTGGCAGGGCTCTGGGGTGAGCTGGGCAGGGACCCGGGAGGTCAGAGGCCCCTGGGTCTTGGCCAAGCAGCTGGAGAGCTGGTGCTGGGAGTGTGTGCTGAGGGGTAGCACGGGCCGAAGGGCTCCTTCCCACTGGCTCTGTTGGCTCAGCCTCGAATTGTCTGCAGGGACGCCTGCTGGCCACACATCACCATGAGGATGCACTTGACTGAATCTGGAAGAATCCCAGGGCTGTGGAAGATTTTGGAAGATAAAATGCCCCCAAGGAAGCATTAATTAATAAATGAATAAATATGCCCAGGCTTAAACGAATTTCCTGCAACAGCTATTCACTGGGCAGGCCCTGGTAGGGTCCTTGCCTTCCCCACACCTGTTTGAAGTGTAGGTCCTTCTCAGAATAGGCAGAAGGAGCAGGTGGCACTGATGAGATGGAGCAGTCGTCACCCACATTCCCACACCTTACCAGGATGAGGATCTCCAAACTGGGGCAGAGCTGGGCTCCATGAGTGAGCATTGCGTTGAGAAACCACCCTGTGTAAGTACAAAGAGGCTTGTCCCACAGCTCCTGGTCACCAAAAGCTGTCAGCAACTCTCACTGGACCTTGGGTCTTGGGCACGTCCCTCCAGCCTCAGTGCCCCGGGAAGGAATTCACAGAGAGCGGCTTCAACCTCCCAGGGCCATGTAGAGGCCAAACCAGAGCGACTGTGGGTAGAGCGCCTTGCCCAACCTCGGCCCGGCTACAAGGGCATCGCAGGCCAGACCCTTCACTTGGCTCTCCCCATGTGCCCACGTCCTCCGGGAGCTCCGGCTGTCACAGCTGAAGGTAGAAATCTTCTTACGGTCCCCCACACTGTGTCTGCACAAAGTGAGACGCTGACTTCCCAACTCACCCACCTGCTGCGCTGGGTCAAGCTGATAAGAGCAGCCCCTGAAGCCACAGAAAAATCCTAGGCATGCCAGGAAAGTGCGAAGCCCCCGGGGGCCCTGGGATGTGAGCTCTGCGCGTGGAGGTGTGTTGGCTTGGGGTGATCTTTCCAATGGACTTCAGAGCCTCCAGGAGACCAGAGAACAGAGCTCTGGGACGGGGGGCACAGGCGCGATGTGGGGTCAGCTTGTCTCCCCGAGGAGACTCCACAGTCCAGAGCTCTGGCACAGGGGGGCACAGGCGCGGTGTGGGGTCAGCTTGTCTCCCCGAGGAGACTCCACAGTCCAGAGCTCTGGACAGGTGGGCACAGGCACAGTGTGGGGTCACTTGCCCCCCTCACCCTGGGAGACTTCACAGTCCAGGCAGAACTCACCGGAAGGAAACAAACTCAGGTCTGCCAGGGCACATTTTGCACTTGCCATGAGTGTGGTGGTTCTGTTAACATTCCCAGTAAATCCACTGTCCCATCAGGACACAGGAAGGGAGGTTCCTGGGGCAGGGGCCTTGCCAGGGGCATGTGACTTCTGGTGGAGCTCTGGGCCCCGCAGGTCTGGACATGGCTGTATTCTTCATTAGTGCCATCTCTGGGCCATGTTTCTTTAAAGACGTGACGAAGAGTCTCTTTATTTTTATTAATTGAATCATTAATTAGTTTTTGCATAGGGAAGTTGCCAGGTTTTAGTTCTTTTAGAGAATTCTCAGCTTCCCAAATAGGTATTAATGATCAAAGCTCATTTTCAGTCATTGGAGGGGGGGCAAAAGGAGATGTAATTGCTAATTATTTGGAATCATCTGAACTGCAATCACTCGAATGGCAGACGATTTACGCAACAGCCTGGAACCCTGAAGCTTGTTTGGAATTCTTCCAGGTCAAGAGGCTGGGAGGTGCCCTCTGCCTTTCAAGATCAGAGAGTAGCTGATCCCCCTCCTGCCGTCATTTATGGACTGAATAACCACAGAGAGTGTGAGGCCGGCGGAAACTTGGCAGTGCCTGTTTGTCATTGTCAGTTTCAAATACTTTTTAATTTTGAATAGTTGTAGATTTTCAGAAGGGTTATGAAGATTGTGCAGGCAGTTTCTGCAAGCTGCTGCTAATTTCCCTCAGCTTCCACGTCTTCGCTGCCATGGTCCACCTGCAGCAGCCAAGAAAGCCGCGTTGCATCGCCACGAGCTAAACTCCAGCCTTCGGATTTCAGAGCTTCCATCCATGTCCTCTCTCTGCTGTGACCCCACCTGGGGTGCCACGTCGTGTCTGATCCTCCTGTGTCCTCGGCTTCTCTGGTCTGTGACATTTCTGTCTCTCCTTTGCCATGACCCTGGCAGTGTGGAGGAGACTGTTGGGCACCCTGTGGATGCCCCTCAGTCTGGGTTCATCTGTCCTTTTCCTCATGGTTAGCCTGAGGTGGTGGGCTTCCGCAAATAATACCAAGGAGGTGAAATGTTCTTCCCCTCACGGCCTCTCAGGGGCATAGAACATCCTCTTGACTTCACAGGTGGCGTTAACCCGATCGCTTGTGTGAAAATAACGCATCGGGAGGCACTAGGCTGAGGGCTTCAGTACCTCAGAAGCAAACCCAGTTCCTGCACACAGAAACCCCATTCAGGGTAAGGGGTCCTGTCCTAGGAAAGAAAATTCAAGTTTAAACAGAAACTGCCAGCTAACCTCAAAGCAGAGGCCGTGTGACTGCTGTTTCACTTCAATCCATCCTTTTTCTGTTCTTCCTTCCAAGAACACTGATGAAGGTTTTCCTTGTGCTCCTTGGTAGAGCCCAAACTGCTGTAGTTCAGTGCTGCCCAGCTCATGGATTCCTGTCTCCTCAAATAACTCTTTACACTTTCACGTGCCTACGTTTATCTTCTAACACTTGGATCAGGTGGCGTCCGCCAGGTGTCTTCGCTGTAAAGTCACTGTCTTCCCTTCCACCGCTCCACTCTTTGGGATGAGTCACGAAGCCTGTGCTACCTTCAGGGGAGGGCTGGGGAAGAGTTAAACTCCATCTCCTGGAGGGGCTGCTACATATGATCATATGATGTTATTTGGAGTAAGAAAGATTTGCCTCTTCTCCACATTTACTTGTTTATTCAATTATTTATACCAGTATGGGCTCATGATATTTACTGTATATTTTTTATTATAATTCAATCATCCAATATATTATTTCTTTTGTTGTTCAAATTTTTCCATCTTTGGCCATTGGCAGCCCTTTCACGTTGGCATCTGTGTCCATTGGACAATCCCCCATCCTTTTGTTTTTTTGAAAATTTCCTTACTTTTTGATATCATGAGATACTCCAGGCTCATCTTGTCTTCTCTCTGATCCACCCTAGAATCAGCCGTGGTTCCCCTCATTGGAGAATGATATTTAGAAACAGAAACCTGGGTGCTGGGTGTGCTCAGTGGGACGAGGGTGTCACTGCCTCCAGCCCTGTCAGTGAAGAGAGCTGCGTAATGTGCGTGCAGATAATACCCTATGTGTGAACACATACTTCAGATTATCTCTGGATCTGTCCATCCTTATATCGATGCAAAGCTAAACATGAGTTCACACTGATGTCTCTGATTCTCATCTAGTACCACAGGGTTCAGTCTAAACTTCCTCTTATTTACAAATAACCTTCCCCTCCAACACAAGAAGCCTGCCTCCCATGGTTTGCCATCCGTTGACTTATCTGTTCAATCCCAGTGTATGTGAATTGTTAACTTGTACCCCTGTGGGAAATTTACCAACAAAGGAATGATATTAATGTCCTTTTGTCTTTAGCTTTACAATTTCCACTCAAAACATCATATTCTGAAGTTACTCAGGTCAGCTTCCTGTTTCTTTAAGTTCGCCCTCATTACTGTCCGCGCTTTGTGATGTGCAGTCATGTGTTACCACCCCAGTGCCAGAAAGAAGAGCTCCTCGTGTGTCCGCCGATGGCCAAGCACTCCTCTCCCCAGCCCCTGGCAACTGCTAGTCCAAGCTTGTCCAACCCACAGCCCGTGGGCTGCATGCGGCCCAGGATGGCTTTGAATGTGGCCCAACACAAATTCGTAAACTTTCTTAACACCTTATGAGATTTATACATGGACTTTTTTTGCTCAAGAGCTATTGTTAGTGTTAGTATATTTTATGTGTGGCCCAAGGCACAATTCTTCTTCCAGTGTGGCCCAGGGAAGCCAAAAGATTGGACACCCCGGCCCTAGTCTGTTCATTCCTATAGTTTTAATTTTTCCAAAGTATCATATGAATGGAATCATGTGATATGTAGCCCATGAATCATGTATATGGGTTTTTCACTTAGTAGAGCACATTTAAGATTCATCATTGTTGCTATGTGAATCAATAGCTGGTTCCTTTTATCTCTCCGCAGCTCCTACTGCACTGAGAAGCACGTGTTCTCCATTTCCCTGGGGGAGACCATTGTATTGGGCAGTTTGGAACAAAACACCATGGACTGGGAGGCTTACACAACAGAAATTTATTTCTTGCTGTTCTAGAGGCTGGGAAGCTCAAGGTGCTGGCTGCATATTCATTCTGAGGCCTCTTCTGATGTGCAGGCAGCTGCCTTCTGACTTGTGCTCACATTGGAGAGAGGGAGTCAGCTTTGGTGTCTCTTCTTGTAAGGACACTAACCCCATTCACTAGGGCCCCACCCTCATGACCTAATCACCCCCAAAGGTCCTGTCTCCAGACATATCACATGGGGCAGAGCTTCAATGTACCAATTCTGGGGGGTCACAAACCCTCCGTCCATAGCAGACATCTTGGTTGCTCCCAGTTTTTAGAGATTAAGAATAAAACAACTGTAAATATTTACATGCAGGTTTTTGTGTGAACAAGTTTTCATGCCAGCTGGGTAAATAGCTAGGGCTGTGATGGCCAGATCCTGTGGTAAGATTCTGTTCCACATTCTAAGAAACTGCCCAACTGTCTTCCACAGTGGCTGTGCCATTTTGCAGTTCTGACAGCAATTCTGTAGCTCCACAACCTCATCAGCACTGGGTGGTGGTGCTTGAATTTTGCATTTTAGCCATTCTAATTGGTGTGGGTAGTAGTTCTCATTTGGGGTTCAATTTGCTTTTTCCTTTTTTTTTTTTTTTTTTTGGCAGGCTGGACATCTCCTAGAGGGCAATAGATTCTGGTTTTGTTTTTTTTTTTAGACAGAGTCTCATGCTGTCACCCAGGCTGGAGTACAATGGCATGATCTCTGCTCACTGCAACTTCTGCCTCCCAGGCTCAAGCAATTCTCCTGCCTCAGCCTCCCAAATAGCTGGGGTTACAGATGCTCGCCACCATGCCTGGCTAATTTTTGTATTTTTAGTAGGGATGGAGTTTCACCATGCCAGCCAGGCTGGTTTTGAGCTCCTGAACTCAAATGATCCACCCGCCTTAGCCTCCCAAAGTGCTGGGATTACAGGCGTGAGCCACCGCACCTGGCTGAGGGCAATCGATTCTGAATAAATAGGTTGTGAATTGGAGATTTGCATTAACCCTGCCCAGGGCCGGGCTGTGTTTGCTGTAGCTGTGTGTGTGTATAACTTCAGATCCCTCTGTGACCTCCTTTTGTCTCCCTTTGTGGTTTTGGGCTTTCCTTTGCTGTTCCTCGGACAGCCTGTGTCTCTCAGGTCTCTTAGCTGTAATCCAGTTATCCCAGAGCTTGTCAGTTAGAGGGGAGGGAAGGGTTGGGGAGGGGCAGTTCCCTGGTCTCTGTCTTTGGACTTCATGGGGCCTGTGCCCCCATCCTGCCATGGCCTTCACAAGGGTTTCTGTCCTCGCTCCAGAGTGAGGTGCCACCCATCCCCCATCCCCCACCCATCCCCTCCCCATCCCCCACCCCTCCCCTCCCCACCCCATCCCCCATCCCCCATCCCTTCCTCATCCCCTCCCCATCCCCCCATCCCCCACCCATCCCCTCCCCATCCCCCACTCCCAGCCTCGGCAGGGATGCCTCTGTTCCTTGTCTGTGTCCTGGAGTCCAGCATGAAGACCTTTGCTTGTGAATACCCTTCCCTGGGACCAGGACCCTTGGGGAAATGCTTGATCCCACATCTGGAGTAGGAGAAGCACAGGTTGACCTTGGGAGCTGTTGCCCTGTATTGCAGCTGCTGTGTGCATGGGGCATGTAGGCCATGCATGGGTGTGGTGCTTCCATCCAGCTCAAAGTGCGTTGTCTGCTCTTAAGTGTTCTTGGCAACACGTGATCCCCAGTTCAAGGCTGGTGTGTATTAAGTTCTCATTTCTTTGGAGAGACAAAAAAGATGGAAAGCGGCATTGCTTGCTGAGCCCAGGGAATACAAAGGAAAGGCAGGCCGAGGGGGAAACCAGTGTCAACAGTGGAGGTGGCTCTCTGATAACCTCGTGGAGCTGGAGTTTGGAGTGCAAGTACTCAGACGTCCAGAAACCCTCTTTCTCTGTAACTCAGCTATCCATGGACGAAACCAAAGGAATGGCCTACATTTGCAACCCACTCTTGATTTCTCCCTTTTGCAATGCCAGGGAGCTGTGTTGGTCAGCGAAATATCGCATCCTGGGTGGCTTAAACAACAGAAGTGTATTTTCTCAGCACTCTGAAGGGAAGAAGACTGAGATCCGGGTCTCGGCAGGGCTGGGCTCTGTGGAGGCCACTCTCCGTGGCTTGCAGATGGAGCTTCTTTGCTGTGTCCTCACAGCATCGTCCCTCTGTGGGTGTCTGTGTCCTCATCTCCTCTTATATAGGACACCAGGCAGGTTGGATTAGAGCCCACACTGGTCACCTCATTTTAACTTTATCACCCTTTTTAAAAGGTCCTATGTCCCAAAACAGTCACATTCTTTGGGGCTTGGGGTTAGAGCTTCAACACATGAATTCGGGAGGAGCACGACTCTGCCTGTAACACCAGCAATGGATTCGGGCCTGTGGACTTCAGCAGCGCTGCCCTTTGTGTGGAAGTGACGGAGTCAGCCTGCCCCATAGGTTCCTGGGTGTGAGCTTCGGCCGCACACAAAAGGTCTATTTGGCGACTCTGGCCACGCTCTTAGGACAAAGGACATGGATTGACAAGTGGCGGGCACGGACGGAGGTGCAGATGATGTCCACGGACACGACAAGTCCATGAGGCCTGGGAGGGCCCCGGCCACCCTGGCCTCACGTTCCCTGAGTCTCTCCTGTAAGCCCAGCTTCCCACCCTTCAGGGTGTAGATGCCCATGTTAAAATCCAGATTCCAGCCCGGGAGGCCTGAGGTGGGCCTGAGACTCTGCATTTCCAGCAAACACCCAAGTGACGTGCCAGCATCCCTGTTCTCATGCCATCTCTGTGTGCGAAACCCTAACTCACTCGTGGCCGGTGCTCCTACCTCCTTGTCACTCTGCAGAGAATGCAGTGACGTCAAGTTCAATTGAAGGCTCGTGGCCAACATGCTCACGTGGACACCCACAAAGGGGCCACCCAGACTGTGGTATTTTATTGAGGAGCGACTAATATAGCTCCCTGGCGTTATAAATGGGAGAAATCAAGAGTGAGTTGCAAATACAGGCCATTCTTTTGGTTTTGTCCACAGATAGCTGAGTTACAGAGTAACTGTGTAGTCTGTGTGGTGCAGGGGGTGGCAGAGGGGAAGGGGCAGGTGAGGCTTGGCATGAGGGGCTTCTCATTGCAGGCGTCCGAGGGAGTTCAGTGGAGGAGTAAGACCCAGGGAGAGCCCAGCTGGGCTGAGGCTTGTTTTCTGCACATGGGTTGCTCCACCGTGAATAGTTAATGAACTAAGTGTCATTTTCACTAAATCTTTCCTTTGCACCAAACTCACTACCATTCTTCATGGAGTCTTTCTGGGGCTTCTGTTTGCAATGACTCATCTGGGGAGAGGACGGAAGGACAGTCAGTGTCCAGCTTGGTTGGTAGATGGGTAGGTCAGATGGAGATGAGAAAGACCTTTTCCCCTCATCACTCTCACGCAGTTAATCCAGAGCCCCTTAGAGAGGTTTACAACTGGAGCTGCTATTTAAAGGCCTAGATGAGAATGTAATAGTAATAATGATCCTCATTTTTATTCTCAGCTGACAGAGCAAGGGAATGTGTGTGAATGCTAATCCATGCACATACATGTCTATAAATATTCTGCATGGAACCATCTGTGTCTATGTCAAGCTAAACTGGGGTTCATACCAGGGTCTCCAACCATAGCCCATCCCCACTGGGGTCCTTCCAGCTCACTCGGCTTCTGGATGTACGACTCCCACAGGTGGAGGAAGGCCCCCAGAGAAGTCTGCTGAAAATTGTTATTCATGAATGGAGGTTGGACTTCTTCAGATACACTTCCCGAGTCTGTTAACATGGTGATGTGACGTTTGCCCTTCATGTTACTCATAGGGACTATTCTGTTAGCTACCAATTCTGCTGCTTTAAATAAAAACACCATTAAAAAACAAAAAGAAACAAATTGTAATAAAATATTTGCATACATATAAAATCTGAAAGACATATATCAAAATATAAAGGTCCTTCCTTTACAAATCAATAAATATACCTTTTTAAAAAAACAGACAAGACAGACATTAGACAAAAGGTGATACAAGAATGACCAATAAGCAAATTGAAAGCACTCAGTATCCTCGGCCATCAGGAAATGCACATTCATCATAATGGGATGCTGTGTGACGCACGTTGAAATAACTGGATGTGAAGATCCTGGCCCCACCCTGTGCCGGGAGGGTCTGGAACATCTGGAATATTCACGTCGCCGGCGGGGAGGAGGTGCACAGGCACAGGCACTTTGACCATAGCATGGCAGGTCCCCCACAACTATATGTACACCTGCCCTGTGCCCAGCAAAATGTAAATGTCTTCCACAAATAGTCCTGGACAGGGTCTCTCAAAGGGGCTTTAACTGTAACAGCCCACACCTGGAATTGTCCACAGTCCTGGGCGGGGTCACTCATAGTAACAGCCCACACCTGGAATTGTCCACAGTCCTGGGCGGGGTCGCTCACAGTAACAGCCCACACCTGGAATTGTCCACAGTCCTGGGCGGGGTCACTCACAGTAACAGGCCACACCTGGAATTGTCCAGCATTCCTCAACAGGAAACAGTTAAAGAAAGTGTGTCTAACCACACATGGAAGGCCACTGGGCAATGAAAATGCATGAACTTCTGGCGTCCACAATCTAGTGGATGAATCTCAAAAGATACTTCGAGCAAAAACACCGGACAGAAGCGTCCGTGCCAGCCCCGCAGGCTGCCTGTGTGCCAGGCTATCCCGTGCCATCTGATCCGGGAGAAGCAGGACTTTCTTGCACAGGTACTCAGCGCTGTGGCTGTGGGAGGAGCCGGGAGGGCCCTGGCGTGGGTGGGCTTGGGGAAACTGTAGGAGCTGGAAATATTTCATATCTTATTTGGGGTGTTGTTTACAGGGGAACTTGACAAACTCATCTAATGGTACAATCGAGACATCTGTGTAAATAAAGTGTCAAAAATCATCCTGCTGACATCCATGCTCCCCGCCCCACGGCACTTCCCGGCCCTCAGCCCTCCCGTGCGGCTCCTGCCCCCTGGCCAGGGCATCTCCCAGACCAGCGCTAGGCAGCAGGCACTGTCCTAACCCCAGAGCCTGTGGGCCTGGGGCATCAGTGAGGAGGAGGCTGAGGACTGATGGTTTGCAGGTTGCTCCGGGAGACCAGAAACCTGGTGAGGAGAGGCATTAGGAGGTGAGGTAGGAGGCGTTACGAAGGCCCCCGAAAGCTGCCTGTTTGTTTGGTTTTAGTGGGGAGATAGTTTTCCAGTACAGAATTTCTACCAGAGTGCCCCATACATAAAACATAACAATGACATGAGATGCTTTGGGGCAGCCTTGGGGTGGATGGGACCTGTGTCCCCCTCTGCAGTCCTCACAGGCGCCCCACGTGTGGGTCTCACGCTGAGATGCACCGAGCCAGCTGGAAAATGCCGGGTCAGGGGGCTGCTCAGGGGCGGCTTCTCTTTAGGTAAAGTCAGTGAATCCCGATGGCCAAGTGCGAGGCATCGGGGAGATCGCAGAAAGGGTCGAGGGACTCAGGCCCAAGCCTGGGGTGACAAAATCTTATAAGTGGAATCATAGAGTATGTAAGATGGCGTGTGTGTGTGTGTGTGTGTGAGAGAGAGAGAGACAGAGAGGAGAGAGGGGGTCTTGGTAACCTTTAGGTCACATTTGGCAGTTTAAACATAAACCTGCTTCCAAATTAACTGGCTTTGGAGACGTCTGTGACTCGTGGGCACACCCTGCCCCTGAGTGGAGAATCTCACCATCAGCTTCTCCGGCTGTTGACGCACTGATCGGCACCCACTGACACTGAAAGGATGCCGATTTGTTTCTGAACCGTGAAATGTTGATCTGATTCTGTGTCATGACATTCTGCTGACTTGCTTCTGAATCACGAAGCTTTGCTGGTTTGTTTCGGAATCATGAAGCTTTCTGATTGCCTTGCATGGAGACGTTTTAGCCCTCACGGTATGATCTGTGTGCACTGGCTGTGCCCTCCAACCTGTCCCCCCATGAGAAGGATGCCTCTGTTGTGAGGAGTCCCCTCCCTTCTCCTAAACTTTTCCAGAAAGTCTTCCACCTAGTAGCCGACCCCAGAACATGCTCAGTTCTGTGGGCGTCTTCCCAAGTGGATCCCCATGTTCAGCTTCCAATAAAACTTTATCCAGTCACTTCTGCCTGCACAGCCTTAGTTTCCATCAGAAGTCTACACGTGTGTATGTGTATAGACACACACACACACACGTGCACACGTGCACACACATGCACGTTTTGTGTCTGGCTATTTTCACTTACAATTTTTTTTTTTGTCAGCCTAACAGGTGAATCTGATTTTGATTCTTTAGATGCTGCCTAAGGAAGTTGAAGAAAAAAATTCCTTTTTTTGTAGTAGCTGGATCTGTATCCAAAATTTAACGTATTGTAGCTCTCCTGCTGTGCCAGGCTCAGTTTGTTTTAAAGATTTCCCAGAGGGGACGACTCAGAAAGAGGCTCTGAGGGTGTGGCATCCTCTGCACACTTTGGGTGCCACCAGCTGACGTGTGACTGTGACTTCACGGGTGGTGCCCCGGCCTCATATGCTTCGTGGTTCTCTGTCTCACTCCTGCTCACGGGCGATGCCCTGGCCTCACGTGCCTCGTGGTTCTCTGTCTCACTCCTGCTCACGGGCGGTGCCCCGGCCTCACGTGCCCCGTGGTTCTCTGTCTCTCTCCTGCTCACAGGAAGTGCCCCGGCCTCACGTGCCCCGTGGTTCTCTGTCTCGCTCCTGCTCATGGGCAGTGCCCCGGCCTCACGTGCCCCGTGGTTCTCTGTCTCTCTCCTGCTCACAGGAAGTGCCCCGGCCTCACGTGCCCCGTGGTTCTCTGTCTCTCTCCTGCTCATGGGCAGTGCCCCGGCCTCACGTGCCCCGTGGTTCTCTGTCTCTCTCCTGCTCACAGGCGGTGCCCTGGCCTCACGTGCCCCGTGGTGCTCTGTCTCGCTCCTGCTCATGGGCAGTGCCCCGGCCTCACGTGCCCCGTGGTTCTCTGTCTCTCTCCTGCTCACGGGCGATGCCCTGGCCTCACGTGCCCCGTGGTTCTCTGTCTCTCTGCTGCTCATGGGCAGTGCCCCGGCCTCACGTGCCCCGTGGTTCTCTGTCTCTCTCCTGCTCACAGGCGGTGCCCTGGCCTCACGTGGCCCGTGGTGCTCTGTCTCGCTCCTGCTCACCTGCCGGGCTTTCGTCTCTGCCCAGGGATGAAACCATCATGTGGCTTAATTGATATTTTGTGAAAGCTGCAAATTATGTGTGCAGTCCTGTCAATAATTCCTATTGGCTGACTTTCTCTCTTCTCCAATATTCTACAACCATATGTACAGTCAAAGCTGTCCACCTTTTACATTCATGATTGATGCTCCATAAATATGCTGGCTAGATAAAGCCGCAGCTGTTAGGCAAAGGAAAGAAAGACACATTTATCTGAGACCCAAGGCAGCTGTCAAGCAGTGGGAATGGCCCTGAAGGCCATAAAGAACCCAGAATGACTGACCGGGATCCGGGTGGACAGGAGCGGGGGGGTGGACTCTGACCCCACCCACCCCCACACCTCCTATCCTTGCACTGTTCCGGGGATGAAGTGGATTTTGGGAGCTGGGCATGGGGCACAAACTCTCTCTAACAGCTGTGGTGGAACCAGGGCTCACTGCAAACCCCCTTTCCTGTTGGGACGCCTCATGGGCTGGACCCCATGAGGGCTCTTCAGAAAGGTGAGAACACGCAGTAAGACCTTTCTCCAAAGTTACCAAAGATGACAGCAACCCACGGTTAGCACAATTTTATAAAGACTGAAAACTTGCTGAGCCTGTGTAGTTAATAAGTGGAGACACAAGGCAAAATCCAATGATAAGCAAGTGAAGATCCATCGTTATGCGATGAACAGTATTTCCATGAAGTTCTGCTTAGTGAGAATAGAGATCACATGCTCCCTTCCATTTTTCAAACATTATTTCTTGTTCTTGCGGTCTGGAAGAAAATGACTGAAAGATTACTTTGTTTCTCTTTGATTCACTTTAAAAGATGTGGGAAAGGGAACGCGAGCTGCCCAGCTGCCCGGGAGACCAGGTTACCTTCCTTTACCCCGGAAGGCAGCCTGCCCTGCTACAGCATTGCCTCATGCTCCGATCACCACACACATCAATGGCAGGAGGAGAGGGTCAGGATAACTCGGGACGGACTCCTCCCAGGAGCTCCCTGGGCGAAGGCGGTCCCATCGGGGAAGCGGGATTCCCTCCTCCAGTAGGGAAGAAGCACCCTCAGCAAGGAGACTGCCGAGGCGTGGGGACGCTCTGCTCTGCGTTTGTGGAAACCAGGCACTCGCCTGGCACAGGGTCTCGCACCCCGGTCTCGGTGCAGCCTTGTGTGGTTCTGGTGCTTGGGAGGGCGTGTTCCCCACGTGCCTACTGAGGAGCCGCTCCCTGGCTCAGGGCTCCTCCTCCACCCAACACCAGCATCTCCACATGGTCAGGTGCGGTTTTAAAAGCCGCGTTCTCAAGATATTCTTCACGTATCATGACATGTGCACAGGCAGAGTGCCAATCAAGTCCTTTCAGAGTACTCGGAGATCCAGTCACTGCGTTGGGTGTACTCGGAGATCCAGTTGCTGTGTTGGGTGTACTCGGAGATCCGGTCGATGGCGTTGGGTGTACTCGGAGATCCAGTCGGTGGCGTTGGGTGTACTCGGAGATCCAGTCGGTGGTGTTGGGTGTACTCAGAGATCCAGTTGATGGCATTCATTGTACTCGGAGATCCAGTCGATGGCGTTGGGTGTACTTGGAGATCCAGTCGGTGGCGTTGGGTGTACTTGGAGATCCGGATTGATGCTGAATATAGGGGGTCAGGAAGATGCAGTTCCTGACCGCTGGGTGTGGTCCCCGGAACAGCCAGGCTGCGCTGGGTGCTGAGGCCACTGCTGTCAATGAGGAGAGACCTGCTTTTGCAGGTGGATCAGAGAGTTCTGAACTCCTCTGTCATTTCATTAGGAAACAGGTTTTCAGGCCCTGGGCTGCAGCTCCTGGTGCTGAGAACTTTCCAGAAGGTTGGTGGCTCCTGTTCTACGCCTTGTCAGGGAAGATGTGGGTTCGCCCCAGGTGCTCCAGAAAGGTCGTGTTCTCTATGGAATGAAGACGGGTGGGCATAAGCGTGGGTCCGGGGCCACCCTCTGTCGTCCGCCGGCGTGTTTCTCATCCAGCCACGTCTCGGAAGGTCTGTGACTGCTGAAAACATTCTGTGCATGAACGTTGGGGAAGGAAACCCACCCAGAGGAGGGGCAGGCGCCACCCCAGGCGTCAGAGCACCAAGCCGCAGAGAACGGAGGCAGCAGGTGCCCGGGACACACCGGGGAGACCGCAGGAGCAGCCCGTGTCTTCTGTGGCTCAGTCCCGCGAGAAACTGGAGGCCAGCGCTTCACAGCTCCCATTTGCAGAGACCAGCTCCCGTGAATGAAGCAAACAACCTGATGTTTGCATTTGCAAGAGGAACTATGATTGTGCCAGGGATGGGGTCTTCAGGTTGTGCATGAGAGTCTGGGGTCCATGCGTGGAGAGGGAGTGGTGTCAGAGGGTCAGAGCCCATGGGCGGTTCTGGGACATGGAAGCTGGTGTCGAGTCAGTCGGGGACGTGGCCTCCCCAGCACAGCCAGGGTGAGTGTCCTCTCTCTCTAAGGCGAGGCAGGAGGGGCCTCTTGTTTCTCAGCCCCCGCAGCTCTGGCCACCCCAGGCTTATGGCACACGGTAATGGATATTTCTGAATGTCTCTTTGGCCAAATGAGTCTGGAAAATGATGTGCTAAGGTGCTCTTGGGATTGTTTTCATGGATCCCAGGTTCGTCGTGTGTATAATGTGGCAATCTGCACCGTAAACCCCGAGCTGCGCAGCCTGGCGCGG
The DNA here is from genome assembly GCF_000001405.40 of Homo sapiens. Taxonomy (NCBI): domain Eukaryota; kingdom Metazoa; phylum Chordata; class Mammalia; order Primates; family Hominidae; genus Homo; species Homo sapiens. The sequence goes on from NT_187523.1 coordinate 27,296, forward strand.
CGTGCGTCCGTAACGCATTTAACCACCATTTATTGTTGTTATTATCATTTTTATTATTGTCATTATTTGGGTAATAGTAAAGAAGTGTGCTTTATGTGGCTTTTCGTCATTTTTTAAGCCAAGTTGGCGGTTTTTTGTTTTATGCATGTTTCTCTTATTTTTAATTTCTTGAAATGTTCCTCCCTGGGTCCTCGAGGCAGATGATAAAATACATGTTATGCGTTTTTCACATTTCCAAAGAAAGAGTAGGGAAGTCCTGGAAAGATTTGCTAAATGTAGGAGCCAAGGATTTCAGAAAAAGCAATTTCTGTTTTTGCAGAAAGAAATCAGGCATTTCAAGTGAGTTACTATTTATTTAAGTTAATCATTTATTAAGCTATTTTCATATGGTGCCAATGTAATCACTGGACATACATGTTAAGTCTAGGAAAAAACTATCATTTTTATTAATTTAACTAATTAATTATCAGAAATGCTGAATTGTGGCCAAGGTATGTGGCATTAACTCATCAGAATCCCTAAATTTAGGACCAGATGGGGCTGGCGGCAGGACACTGACACTCCCGGGGCGTGGGACCAAGGGCCACAAAAGAGCAGGTCCCCTGAAACCCTGAGAGCTCAGCGGAGGCTGGGCCTTTGTTGAGAAACTGGTTCCCTTCACAGAAGAGCAGCCCTGGACACACCCTTTCCTCTCCACAGGCTCCGCTGCACCCACCTGGTGAACCTGACACCAGCTGGCGCAGAGGGAGGTGAGACCTATGTCCGACTCAGCTCTGCTGCAGTGGAGAAAGTGCCATACCTTGTGACCTAGTTCACCATTTCTCACCTCTGAATTTGTCTAAACTTCCTTCTCCATCTATTCATCTGTCCTTCTCTCCACTCACCTCTCTCTAAACTACCCATCCATCCATCCATCCATCCATCCACCCACCATCCATTCATCCATCCATCCATCATCCACCATCCACCATCCATCCATCCACCATCCATCCATCCATCCATCCATCCATCCATCCATGCATCCATCCATCCATCCACCATCCATCCATCCATCCATCCATCCATCCATCCATGCATCCATCCATCCATCCATCCATCATCCACCATCCACCATCCATCCATCAATCATCCACCATCCACCATCCATCCATCCACCATCCATTATCCATCCATCCATCCACCATCCATTCATCCATCCATCCATCATCCACCATCCACCATCCATCCATCCATCCATCCACCATCCATCCACCCACCATCCATTCATCCATCCATCCATCATCCATGCATCCATCCACCATCCATCCACCATCCATGCATCCATGCATCCATCCATCCATCCATCCACCATCCACCATCCATCCATCCACCATCCATCCATTATCCATCCATCCACCATCCACCATCCATCCATCATCCATCCATCCATCCATCCATGCATCCATCCATCCATCCATCATCCATCCATCCACCCATCCATCCATCATCCACCCATCCATCCATCATCCACCATCCATGCATCCATCCACCATCCATGCATCCATCCACCATCCATGCATCCATCCATCCATCCACCATCCACCATCCATCCACCATCCATGCATCCATCCACCATCCATGCATCCATCCACCACCATCCATCCACCATCCATGCATCCATCCACCATCCATCCCCATCCATCCACCATCCATCCACCATCCATCCATCCATCCATCCATCCATCCATCCACCATCCACCCACCATCCATCCATCCATCCACCATCCATCCATCCATCCATCCATCCACCATCCATCCACCATCCATCTATCCACCATCCATCCATCCACCATCCATCCATCCATGATCCATCCACCATCCATCCACCCATCCATCCATCCATCCATCCACCATCCATCCACCACCATCCACCATCCATCCATCCATCCATCCACCACCATCCACCATCCATCCATCCATCCATCCACCATCCATCCATCCATCCATCCATCCATCCACCATCCATCCATCCACCCATCCATCCATCCATCCATCCATGCATCTGTCACTCTGTTCTTCTACCCACCCATTTAGCCACCCACCTCTGTCCATCTGTCATCCCTGTCCAGCTATTTATACACATCAAGACGTAATCTGGCACTGCTGGGCAAGGTTAGTAAATAAACTCTGAAATGTTTTCCACAGAGGCAACCTTGGCACTCAAGTGACCAGAGTCGCCCTGTATTAGCTTCAGATGCTGTAACAAAATCCCCTAGACTGTGGCTTATCTGACAGGAATTCATCCCTCAGAGTCCGGAGGCTGGAAGGGCCAGGGCTGGCAGGTGCCACGTTTGGTCTCTCTCTGTGGCTTGAGGATGGCCCCCTTCTCCGTGTGTCCTCACATGGCAGGGAGAGAGACAGCTCCGGCCTCTTTCTCATCCTATAATCACCCCACAGAGGCTCCACTCCTAATCCCATCACGTTGGGGTTAGGGCTTCAACACGTGGGTTTTGAGGGGACACATTCCGTTCCCCCTGTATTCAGCATCAATCAGGGGAAGGAAGATGAAGTATGAAATCGCCAAGCTGTAAAACCCTAAAAGGGAAAGTAAACGCTCCTCTGCCAGTGGCTTTGGGCTTTAGTTTGACGTTTTGAAATTCAGACCTAAACCAGGTCTTTGACATTTGATACGGTTTGGATCGTATCCCTGCCCACGTCCCACGTGGACGTGGAATCTCCAGCGTTGAAGGCGGGGCCTGGTGGGAGGTGATTGGATCACGGCCGGCGTTCCCACAAATGGCTTCGCACCGTCGCCTCCGTGACGCCCTCGTGACACTGAGTGAGCAAGTTATTGTGAGACCTGGTCGTTTGAAACTGAGTTGGGGCCCAGCTCAGCGGGCACGACCCTGCTCTGGGCCACGCTTACGCGCTTGTTCCTAACGCAGCCCGTCTCTCCCTCCCGAAGAGCCTGCTTCCCTCACCTTCGCCAGGACTGAAGGTTCCCTGAACTCCCCAGAGGCCGAGCAGAAGCACGAGGCTTCCTGTACAGCCTGCAGAACCGTGAGCCAATTAAACCTCTTTCCTTGATAAATGACCCCTCTCAGGCATTTCTTTATAGCAGGGTGAGAACAAATGAATACACCATTCTAAGTATTAATATAATAACTTGTCCGCTGGTCTCACAAAACCTACCCTTGCTGTATATTAACTTTGTGATAATGCGTATTAATTTATAAGTGCATTTTAAATTCTTTGGCAATTTTTATTTTTATAAATTAGATATGTCCTTAGTTCTTTTTACATTTGATGAAAACATTGAGTCTTCCAATGAGTGTCATAACAAAATAGGTTTTTTAAACTTTGTATACAAATGTTATATACAATATTATAGAGAGATATTTTATAGAATGTGCCCAATGTTGAGAAGTTAAAATATTTTTATTTTGCATTGGGTAGAAAAAAAGGAAATGGGATAGATGCAACCTCTATTAAAAGACATTTCTCTTCCACTTGCAACCGTGATGTGTAACCAGCAGCGCAGGGGTCACGACCTTCCTTCACACATGCAAAGGGTAAGGAAGACCCCGGCCAGCAAGACACTTCTTGAGTGGGGGATTTTTAACATTGCGCTGAAATGGAAATGCCAGCTCTGTAGAAGGCATCATATTTTTAATTTTTAATGTAATGTAATTTATTTTAAAGACAGGATCTTGCTCTGTCACCCAGGCTGGAGTGTAGTGGCACGGTCAGTCACGGCGCACTGCAGCCTGGACCTCCTGGCCTTAGGGTTCCTCCTACCTCAGCCTCCTGAGTAGCTGGGACTCCAAGCACATGCCACCATGCCTGGCATATCATTAAAAAAACCTACACTTTCTTTTATCTGTTTTAAATAATATTTTAATTATGCATTAGATATTTTAGTGTTTTTGTGCGTGGAAGTGGCTTTTGAACATGTACTAGGAATTGCCTAATGGTTTCAAAATGCACATTTTTAAAAGCATCTTTGCTCTTTATCTAAGAAATGCTGGATATCATTTTACAAGGTTAATTATTTGATATATTTGGATTATTATAATAAGTGTTTTAGTTATCCTATGTATACTGAAAACACATTGCTGTAGTATCACGTAGCTGTGTAACAATTACTTAAATGATTTGTGTTGTCCATTTGTATTTGAACTTTTCTGGATGGAAATGTTTATACTCGGCTTACCTGAGATGGAAAACACTTCTGTCTGGGGTTTGAAGAGGGCAGGGTGTTTGGCGCTAGTGACGTTTGCACCCGGGATTCTGGGTCTCCCCAGGACCCGTGGGCGGATTCAGCCTCTCCCAGCCTCCGCCCCTGCTGCCCCAGCTGGGACCAGTTCCCAACTCAAGGCTTAGTCCCAAGCCTGGTTAGCAGAAGGTCAGCTTATTCCCTTGAGTCCCCTAGTGTCAAATGAGAGGCCCTTCCTCCTCTCATCACGGAGATCGAGATTGCGCTCCCTGTACTCGACGGCCAGCCACTGCATGAACCACTGACGGAGCAGCTCAGATGACAGACACCCCCGTCCCCAGCTCCTAAGGTGGCTCAGACCACAGACACCCCGTCCCCAGCTCCTAAGGTGGCTCAGACCACAGACACCCCGTCCCCAGCTCCCGAGGGGGCTGAGATGACAGACACCCCCATCTCCCAGCTCCTGAGGCTGGACATCCAAGGCCAAGACACCCAAGGGCTTGTTCCTTCCAAGGCTGCGAGGGAGGCCTGTGCTTGGCCGTCTTCCCCCGTGTCCTCACCTTGTCTTTCCCTTGTGCGTGTCTTTATGCCCAAATTTCCCCTTTCCATGAAGACCCCATTTGCACTGGATCAGGGTGCACCCTAATGAACTCACTGTAATTTGAACTCTGTGAAGACCCCATCTTCAAACAGTCACAGTCTGAGGTCCAGGAGGTTCAGTCTCCAGCATGTCTTTTTGGAGGGGCCCAGCTCAGCCGGCACGACCCTGCTCTGGGCCACGCTTATGGCGTCTGTCCCTTACGCGGCACCACAGCCACCGCACCGCGACGCCACGCACTGACACATCCCCCTGGGGGCTGGGACTCTGCTGGACATTTCCCAAGTTATCCAATTGGTTTCTGAGTCTCTCAAGGATTCTTGAGAACAATGAATATCTCCTTTCAGGACAGAACTCCTGGCAGCTTCTGCTGGGTCCACTCCTTCACCTGGAGCCGACCCTGCCTGCTGGGCTCTTGGCCACTGGCAGTTGCAGAAGGAGATGGGGTGGGGAGGGGCCCACCATTCTCCTCACATTCTGATTCTTGCTGAGGTGGTGACTAAGGCTTCACTCGGTACCTCTGCGATAGGGGAGAAGGTCACACTCAACTCTGAATAGAGCAAAGGCGGCTGACTTGTGCCGATGAGCACAGTTGGGGGACAGAAAATGACCAGGAGGAGATGTCGAGGCACAGGTTTCTTGTTGAGGGCAGGGCAGCGGGATCAGACAGGAAGAGTGAGGATGGGGAATTTGGTCAGACACCAGGAGTGGAGTGTTCTGGATGAATGGATGTCACAGGATTCTTGCTAAGGCTGGGCAGGCCCAGCAAGCTCAGGGTGGACACAGAAGGTCAAGGTCCAGGCGTGTCGGAGAGGCTCAGAGGAGCCCGAAGGAAGGAAGGCTGGTCCAGGAGGGACCTTTGCCACCACTGAGGTCCTCTGACGCCACCTCATCTGCTCGACCTGACAACATTTCCCCCCGGGGAGGCGGTGGTGCAAGTGTGGAAGTGTCTCCTGGACTGACCGCCCGCCCTCATCATTGGATTCCATCTGCAGGTGCTGAAGGTGCCCTGCACAATGGGAAACGGTTGGAATTGGAACTTTAACCAGAGTGATAACCGTGAGAGTTACCTTGCAAAGTGCCTCCGCCTGTTCCTTTTATTTCAGAGTCGGCTGCTCCCACACTCTGTGTCCAAGACTCTCGGACGTGAGGCTGAGAGCGGGAGTGGCAGAGCCTTCTTTAGCTTCACCTGCAGCTGCCGGCCACGTGCTCTGACACCTCTGAGGCCTACATCTCCAGATCGCACCTTCCATGGGTCCTTGCTTTGTATTTTCCCGCAACTGGACTCATGCCTCCTTTCTCATTCTGCAAACCTGCCAAGGCCATGCAGGCACTCTGGCTCTCAAAACCAGCTGGGATGCCAGGACTGAGGCTCACTCTGAACCACCTGCGTGCCCAGGGCTGGGCAAAGACCTGGTGCAGCCAAACCTCAGAGGAGGAAAGGCAACGTTGTGAGCAAATTAGAAAGGGGTCGGGGGAGAAATTCATACACACATACACATATACATGCATACACACATGTATACACACACATGCACACGCACACACACATACATATATACACACATACATGCATACACACATACACACATACACATATACACACATGCACATGCACATACACACATACACGTATACACACATGTATACACACATACACACATGTACACAATACATACACATACACACAGGCACATTGGTATATACAAGTATACATAGAGCTGATCTCAGTTTACACAAAGCAGTCTTTTCAAATGTTTGCCTTAGAATAAACAATCTTTCTCTAGTATTTTTAAAAAATAAAACCAAAGACACTGACAAGTCTGATGCAAAGAACGAAGCTGCTGCTGATCCGCCTGCTTCTACATGGGCAAGATTGACTCTGGGTAAAAACAAGAGAAAGCAGGGAAAAGTTGAAAATAGGGACAGAGCCAGCCTACAGACACTACCTTCCTATCCTTCCCTTCTCCCCTGCCTGCCTGAGGAGCAAAAAGCCTCGTCTAAGGGAGGCTGGACAGAATCTAAACAGATAAGCCAGCAGTGAAACCGCTTCCCGGGGCACGCACAGCAGGTGCAGTTGCTAGGTCAGCATCCCCTCCTCCCGGCCCACAGCTTTACTGGAGGAGAGCAGCAGGACAAAGCCAGGCTTACCTGGGCCACGCGGGGCCTAAGTTCTGCTGTGTGGGAAGGGTGGGTGCTGGAGAGGAGTCCCTGTGTGCAGGGCATGGGTCTCACCTTGGCTTCTGTCAAAGCTCAGCCTGCACGGCGTTCCCAGGATGCAGCTGGTGATCGCATCCGTCCTAGGAGGACACAGTAACTGGTATCCAGGGCACTCCTAATGTGGCGTCTGATGCCTGGGGGTCTCTATGGTAATCTCGGCTCACTGCAACCTCTGCCTCCCGGGTTCAAGCGATTCTCCTGCCTCAGCCTCCCGAGTGGCTGGGATTACAGGCATGCTCCACCATATCCAGCTAATTTTTCTAGTTTTAGCAGAGACGGGGTTTCACCATGTTGGCCAGGCTGGTCTTGAACTCCTGACCTCAAGTGATCCACCCACCCTGGCCTCCCACAGTGCTGGGATTGCAGGTGTGAGCCACTGCGCCCAGCCCACCAGCCTCCTTCTCAATGTGCTTTGTAAAACTTGCTCACAAGCATTTTTTGAATCTTGTCTAACAATTGACACACTGGTCATAAGCAGAATTTGCTTCTCAGAGGAATTCACACTGTATTTCTTGACAATATTCTTTTGCGGGACCCCCAGGGTTCCCATGGCACAGCTGCGGTGGACACTGTGAGACCTCCGTTGTCCTGGGGAGTGGGTGGTGGCCTTCGTCGCAGGCAGGGCTGGTCAGAGGCGACGCCTGTCCTGGCCTGCTTGTCACAGCCAGGTAGGCACCAGGCCAGAAGCTGCAGAGCCCAGGCAGTATTGCTCACCTGTCCAGCGCGCTGTCCGTATTTATGGGAAGTTTTCATACACGCATGCAATGTGTGATGTTCAAATCAGGGTCGCTGGGATGCCCACCGCTTCAGACATGATTTCTTTGTGTTGGGAACATGACTTTCTCTTCCAGCTCTCTGAAATACACAATAAGTTACTGTGAACTCTACTCACCCTACCATGCTCCTGAAGGCTGCAACGTATTCCTTCTATCTCACCATACGTTTGCACCCATTCACCTGCTCCTGAAGGTTGGAACATATTCCTTCCATCTCACCATACGTTTGCATCCGTTCACCTGCTCCTGAAGGCTGGAACGTATTATTCCTTCCATCTCACTGTACACTTGCGCCTGTTCACTGACCGCTCAGCTTTTTCCTGCTTCTGCCTGTGAGTTTGGAAGCGACAGAGGATACGCTGTTTATGCGTTGGAGCTAACACTAGAATTGCTAATTATTTTTATCATTACATTTTACTTTATTTTGTAACTTACTAGCTAAACTCATTGCTGTGTTAATTTTGTGGTTGCTTTGGGTTTCTGATACACATGGTTAACATACCACAGTCTTCCTCCGAGCAACGCTGTGCCATTTCACGGCAGTGAAAGGCCCGGGAAGGATCCCCTGCCATTGTCTGCCCGCAGCCACAGTGCTATTACCAACGTACGTTTTATTCTATGCGTACTATAAACCCAACGATGCGCTGATACTAAACTTGTTTTAGGAGGTCAAGTATGTTTTAAGTAGATGAAAATAATGAGAAGTATTTTCTGCGAAGCGTGCAGGAGCCATTTCCCATATTCTCTTCCCTTGCTGGAGGGCCAGCTCCTTACCCGGCGCCCTTGACTTCATTCGGTGGATGTCCCCGTAAGTGCGTGCCGCCAACACTGGCCATGGATGTCGTCATCTTTTCTGCTTGTGAAAATGTCTTCGTAGCACCCTCATTTTGGAAAGATAAACCTGCTGAAAAAATGTTCCAATTTGACCGTGTATTCTCTCGTTAGTTAAGACCTCCCACTCTGCCCGTTTGCTGGGTTTCTTGGCTGTTTCTCTCTGCAGTGTGCCCTTTTGCTGGGTCTGCGAAGCAGGAGATTTTGCCATTTCATTAGAATGTTCCCTGACGTGCTTTTCTTCATGTTTCCTGTGCTTGGGGTTGCTGGAGCTTCCTGGATCTGTGTTGATAGTTTTTATGAAATTTTGATGTTTTGGCCAGTTTTTTCCTACACATTTTCTTATTTTTCCCCAAATCCACTCTCCTTTGTGGACATCAACTTTGAGTATATGAGGCTTTGTGAAGCTTGCCACAGCTCACAGGTCCTCTGTCTCCGTTTGAGGGGTCTCTGTGGCCGTCTTCAAGTGAACCGATTTCTTCTTTTGCAATGTTCACTCACCCTCCACCCCACCAGATTTGTTGTGTTTTTATTTCTGACACTGATGTTGTTATCTTCAAACTTTGATTTTGGCCTTTCTGATTTTCCCTGGCTCTATTTAATGCGTCCTCTCTTCCCTCTTCCTTCCTGAACATCCGGAACACGATCCATATGGCTGTTTTAAAGTCTGTATCTTCTATTTCTATTGTCTGTTCTGTTTCTGGGTCAGTTTCCATAGATTGATTGATTCTCCTCTTCTTGGAGTCTATCGACCAGGGGCTCGGGGTGGGTGGCTGTCCAGACACCCTGTGCTCCTCTCCAGAAGGAAGTCTTATGAGACCACTGCTCTCCCAGAGGGCAGAGGAAGCTGCTCAGCTCTCACAGCATCCACAGGACCCCCCAAAACCCCTGCCCAATCCTGGGTCTGAGTCCCTCCTCTGAATACACAAGGCCTGAAGACACAGCGTTCAGAGGAAGGAGCTCAGACCTCCCCGATCAAATGGTATCTTCTTTGAAAGAATATGGCGCCACATTTGGGGTTGTCAACTGCGGCCAGGTCAGTACGTCTTCACTTTGATCAATTGCGGCCAGATCAATACGTCTGCACTCTGATTCCCACGTGTCTATGCCTCCCTGCTCCTCAATGCAGGGCCCTGGATGAAAGGAGTGAGTGCTGAGTTTTGTCTAAATCCAATCCTTGCAAGAGTCACTGAAAGTAGCATTATAAATTGTTTGCAAGAGGCCTTTGACACTGAAAACTTGGCCATGTGACTGTTGTCCAAAAATCCTGCTTTCACATCTATGAGTTGCTTATTTCTAAACTTTTTTGGTGAGAATAAAGTTATCTAATACTCAATGACTCAATGCTGTGTCATTTTTCTTTTATGGCACTTTGCATCAATCAGAGGAAATTTCCTCAGTTTTATTTAACAAGCACTCAGCTTTCATCAAAAATCGCAGCTCTTGAATCACGCTCAACACCCAAACTTAAACTTTACAAATGCGTTAAAAATTATGTAGTATCCTCCATGTGACTGTATCCATAACTGCCTTGAAACTCTTGCACAAAATAATATTATGAGTACTTTTTTTTCAATCAATGAGAATGCTTTCAGATCATTAAATCATATATGAAACGAACAGGCAGAAAGGTGTTAAGAAAGCAAAAGGAACCCTCTTTCTCCAATCTGTCCTGAATATTACAAACAATATTACAAATGATAGCATGTATAAATCTACACTCAGCCATCAGAAATAACGGCTGGTGCACACTCACCACCCGAGTCCTGTTCCTGAGGCTGTGCTGCCTCCTCCTGAGTGACGGGCAGTGCACACTCAGCTCTCAGGGCTTTCTTCCTGGGTTGTCGATGGGAAGCAGCATTCAGGAAGCCAGAGCCCAGTTCATGACACTGGGGTTTGCTCAACATTGCTCAGTGTCTGCTGTTTTCCCCCTGGAGACCTGGGCGGGACATGCCCTGGGAGACACCAGAATCAGGGCTCCCAGGGGTCAGGTCAGCGCTCGGCCCCTGACCTATTCCCTTGTGGACTTTCTGGGCAGGCTGGCGATCTCGGCGTGGTGAGAACACAGCTGCACGGGGTCTGTCCTGCTCTGTGGTCCAGGTGTGGTCCAGGTGAGCCCGCTCGCCAGCTGCAGACAGGATGAGAAGCTCATGAAAGAGGCTTCTGCAGGTGTGGTGGCCACAACGTTCTCTGACTCTGGGAGCTGATCCTAGTCTTGTAGCCGCTGGGCACAGACCCTCGGGCTGGATGTGAAGACCCCAGTCTTCTGCCGCCTTGTTCCGTGGTCCCCCCCGCCGAGTCCCAGATGGTGGATCTTCTTGTGTGCTACCAGAGGGTGGCAGGAGGGGACGCTGAGCCTGCCCCCAGCCCCCTGACTCCGTGTAGTAGCACATCCCGTATGCAGACTTGTGTTAGAATAGTCTATGTTGATAATGTGGTAAATTCTAGACTCAGGATAAATTAACTTAACATCTCTACCAGGGTGTAATGTAATATTGAACACATGTGTAACGTGCTTTAAAGGTGAGTCCACACTCCAGACCCAGCTCTTGTTCTTCCTACACGCTGATTACCTATACATTGTACCTAAATTGGCATATAACCCAAATAAACACCAAAGTATCATCCTTAGATCCATTTTGGGTGGAAAACCTCATAATTATCAGTCTTCTAAAGGCAAGTATTTACGTGCTTGGGCTCATAATTATTATCCTAATTGTGTCATTTTTTTAAGTCAAAAAATGCTAAACACAGAGCATGTAGAATCAGAAATTGCATAGATTTGCCTCAGAGAAAGACGCCCCTTTTTATAACAAACATAAAATATAAGACATCTGAAAAAAGCTGACCCTGAAAAATTATCTTATGGTCACATTTAGTTTCCTTTTTTCTAAAAAACTGTATTTTATGACTGTTTTAATGGAAACATTAAAATTTCTATTACATTATGGAGTAAAAGTGGTAGCTCATGCTAGTGTAATTATATGTAAATTATTCAACCTTTAAAGACAGCAGTGTCTCCTGAGTTTCAAAAAATACAATTTTTTATTTTAGCCTTCTCTCCAATATTAGGAGTATATTTTACTCTACCAAATTAAATAATTTAAGCTTAAAGTTGGATTTCCTTATGTAGCACTTTAAATATAAGAATCTCTTATAAGTCTAGCTACCTTCAAAAACAGTTGTGATAAAACAACTGTTTATGCCTCAGAAACATTTTTGAGATTTATATTCTGCTCCTTATGTTAATATTCCGAGGATTATATTCATCCCATTTTTAGTGGACCTCAAATTCATTTCATGAGAAGTAAAGACGCACTCAGCAGCAAAGTCAGACAGCTTGACATGTCATTAAAAACCTCATTCTCTTCCTGTTTCCCCTTCCACGGTGAATTTCTATGTGATATCTTATCACCTCCAGGGTGGAGAGATGAAATCAGCTTTTTGAATCACTCCTGAGAAAAGAGGTGTGTGAGAAAACACAACTGTGAAATGTCGTACCAGCCCAACCGAGGCACTGACAATCCCCTGGCCACTTCCCTCGGCTGATCGTCTTCTCGTTAATGCTTCTTAGTGAAATGCATTAATAGAATTTTAAAAAGGGTGCTCCATTTACTTTAGACTTGGGAAGAACAAATTCTCATCAACTCTTCTTTACCCAAAATACAAATGGCCGCTTTTTAATCTTCTCAAGGCCTATTTTCCTATTCGTTTAGCTTTTTGGTAAGCCTCATTCCCGAGCTGTGCAATTCATCCTCCTTGGTCTCCCTGCAAAAATTGTAGAAAAGGATGGAAATTTTCTCAGAAACACAACAAAACCTACTGGAGTTTTGAAAGGAGTTGCATTGAGTTACTGGTCAGCTTGAGGTGGACAGACTAAAGTGGAGTCTTTCAATGTAAAAACAGTATAGCTCTCGCGTGTTTAGGATTGACTTAATTTCTGTCAAAAACATCTCACAATTTTCTGTGTAAGGCTCTTACATATCCTGCTTAGATTTTTTCCTACCTATTTATAGTTTTCCAATTTCATTTTCTGTTTGTTTCTGATGTAAAATTGTGTTTTTGTTTCATTACCTTGTATCTAACACACTTACTCAACATATTAATTAATTCTCATAATCTTTCCATAAGTTCCTTGTGGTTTTCTATAAACACAATCATGCCATCTTTGAACAAAATGAGTTTATGTCTCATTGTCTAATATTTTAATTTTACATATGATGTGAGGTTATGATCAAAGTTTCCTTTCAGAATTCAAGTTTTCAACTGTTCCAGTGCAACTTATTAAAAAGATTATTCATTCCCCACTGAATTTCCTTGGGACCTTTGTTCAAAATCCATTGACCATATGTACCTGGGTTTACTTCTGAACTCCTGTCCTGCTCTGGGGACCTCTGTGTCCAGGCCACCCTCCAATGCCATGGGGACCTCTGTGTCCAGGCCACCCTCCAATGCCATGGGGACCTCTGTGTCCAGGCCACCCTCCAAGGCCAGGCTGCCCCAATGACGGTGGTCATAGTTGGTCCATCTGAGCTACACTGGATCTGCTTAAACTGTTCATTTCTTTTATTCTAAGGAGATTCTGCTGATATCTTCCTTCCTCCTGGGTATCTGATTATAATCAATTAAGTGTCAACCATTTTAGTAGAAAAATCGAAGAGGTAATTTTTCTTACTAAAGTGAGATAAGAAGAAAGAAAGAAGTAACATTTGCTCTGTAGGGCATCTGCACATTCTACTAAAACTTTGGGGTAATCTTGGCCCAGTTCCAGAGACTGAGTTGGCTTATGGGGAGCTGTGTTCACGGGGCGGACCAGCCTGGGGTCATGTGGATCTGGGCTCGGCCCCAAGCCCCTCACCAATGCTCAGCCTCTGCGGCTCTACCGTTGGGAAACAGCCCCAGGGGAGGCTTGTCCCTGAGTGAGCACTCCCCACCGGGGCCCTGTTCTACAGCATATTCTGACTCAGCAGCCCCTTCCTTACTATCAGCCCTCTCGCATCTTCAAGGATGTTTTCTTACATCTTTTTCCAGACTTTCGGTTGTTTTCTGTTGGAGGGTGGTATGGGGTTACTTGGTAGAGCAACACTCAAAGCCTTCCTTTTTAAACGAGTACAGACAGGTAGCAGTCAAGATAAAAACCAAAATAAAGAAATCAAAAAAGCCCAGAGGAAACAAATAATCAGAGAATACGGATAATTTCCAAAAAATATAATGACTACCCTCCAAGAGATGATGGGACTATGCATTCATGGAACAAGAACAGATTGCTGAGAATAATTATCCAAGTATTAAGTGTGGGAGCTTGATAAGGCTTGGCTCCGTGTCCGCACAAAATCTCCTGTTGACTCTTAGTCCCCAGCGTTGGAGGTGGGGCCTGGCGGGAGGTGCTTGGATCTCAGGGTGGATTCTCATGAATGAGCTAGCACCATCCCTTGGCACTGTCCTCGAGACAGTGAGTGCGTTCTCATGAGATCTGGTCATTTAAAAGTGTGTGGCAGCTCCCACCTCGCTCTTGCTCCTGCTCTGACCCTGTGAGACGCCTGTTCCTGCTTTGCCTTCCACCATGATTGGAAGCTTCCCGAGGCCTCCCCAGAAGCAGAAGCTGCCATGCTTCCTGTGAAGTCTGCAAAACTGTGAGCCAACTAAACCTCTTTTCTCTATAAATTACCCAGTCTGGGGTATTTCTTTATAGCAATGTGAGACTGGATTCATACAGAGCTCTTCCTGAGAGAAAAAAGAATGCGAAACACAGTGAGTGATCAAAGGATCAGGCAGGAAGTTCTAACATTTGAGAAGGGCCTGGGAAGGCGGAGGTGGCAGACAGCATGGGAGACAGTCAGCAAGAGGGCGGAAGACACGTCCCAGGCCCCGGCAACGGAGGGTCCCAGCGTGAGAGGACTCCCAAGGCTGGAGCTGGGTGAGAGGGGAAGAGAACCCTTTGAGGCATCCTGGTGACTCCTTAGGGGAGGGGACCCTGTGCACTTCCAGAGAGAGAGAGGGGATTTCCCAGCCCTCACACATCTGAGGGCCTGGGGCGAGGGGGTGCTGCCGCAGTGGCACCGTTCCCCTCAGACTCGCTCATCAGGACTTCAGCACTGCCCGTCCATGGGGACGTCTGCACTCACAGTGTCCTCGGCACTGCCCTCCGTGGGGACGTCTGCACACACACTGTCCTCGGCACTGCCCGTCCATGGGGACGTCTGCACTCACAGAATGTCCTCGGCACTGCCCTCCGTAAATGGGGACGTCTGCACTCACAGTGTCCTCGGCACTGCCCTCTGTAAATGGGGACGTCTGCACACACACTGTCCTCGGCACTGCCCTCCGTGGGGACGTCTGCACTCACAGAATGTCCTCGGCACTGCCCGTCCATGGGGACGTCTGCACTCACAGTGTCCTCGGCACTGCCCTCCGTGGGGACGTCTGCACACACACTGTCCTCGGCACTGCCCTCCGTGGGGACGTCTGCACTCACAGTGTCCTCGGCACTGCCCGTCCATGGGGACGTCTGCACTCACAGTGTCCTCGGCACTGCCCTCCGTGGGGACGTCTGCACACACACTGTCCTCGGCACTGCCCTCCGTGGGGACGTCTGCACTCACAGTGTCCTCGGCACTGCCCTCCGTAAATGGGGACGTCTGCACTCACAGAATGTCCTCGGCACTGCCCTCCGTGGGGACGTCTGCACTCACAGTGTCCTCGGCACTGCCCTCCGTGGGGACGTCTGCACTCACAGAATGTCCTCGGCACTGCCCTCCGTGGGGACGTCTGCACTCACGGAATGTCCTCGGCACTGCCCTCCGTGGGGACGTCTGCACTCACAGTGTCCTCGGCACTGCCCTCCGTGGGGACGTCTGCACTCACAGTGTCCTCGGCACTGCCCTCCGTGGGGACGTCTGCACTCACAGAATGTCCTCGGCACTGCCCTCCATGGGGACGTCTGCACTCACAGTGTCCTCGGCACTGCCCTCCGTGGGGACGTCTGCACTCACAGAATGTCCTCGGCACTGCCCTCCGTGGGGACGTCTGCACTCACAGTGTCCTCGGCACTGCCCTCCGTGGGGACGTCTGCACTCACAGTGTCCTCGGCACTGCCCTCCGTGGGGACGTCTGCACTCACAGAATGTCCTCGGCACTGCCCTCCGTGGGGACGTCTGCACTCACAGTGTCCTCGGCACTGCCCTCCGGGACGTCTGCACACAGTGTCTTTGGCCCAGCTCGGGTTAGGAGCACTCGCTCTGGAGGCCTGACTGTGCTTTTGTAAATTTTCACAAACAGTCACTCAATAGGTTTTATTTTTTGTTTCCAATGATTCAATGACCAATTCTGCTAAATTTCACACAGCCGAAACACTTGAGAAAATTGGTAGTAAAGAACATTTGGAATCCCTGAGGATTTTCAGAGTTGAGCGTGTGTGGTGGTTAGCTGTATTCCTCCACTGGGCTGGGCCACGGTGCCCGGGTCTGATGGGACATTACTCTAGAGGCCTCTGGAAGGCGTTGGATGGGTGGGCTGTGAGGAAAGAAGATGAGCCTGCATAGCGTGGGTGGGTCTCCTCCGATCCGTTGAAGGCCTGACTAGAACAGAGATAACACCCTGCACCAGGAAGGAACTCTGCGTCCGACGGCTTCAGACTAGACTGGCAGTGCTGGCTCTTCCCCGGGTCTCCAGCCGAGGGTCCACCCTGCAGACCTTGGACCTGCCGGCTTCCACGGTCACACAAGCCAATTCCCTAAAGATAAATCTCTCTCTGTGTCTCCCTCTTTAACAAAAGGCCACCTTTAACCTTTAACAAAAGGCGACCTGCTGAGAAGTCCTTGTGCTCTGTGCTTTGAACTGGACATCAACAAACAACATGGCACTTAGTGTTTTTAAACTGACCAAGGGACAAGCCTGGAGCAGCCTCTTCCGGGGCCTCGATTAACCAGGAGGAGGTGGCTGCTGTGCCCCAACCCAGGTGACAGATTCGGGTGCCGGCACCTCCCCTGAGTCTCAGAGTCCAGGGAGTCACAATTCTACAGGGACAACAGAAACACACAAAAGTGGGCATAAAATAATCATCGATAGAAGGTTTGTCACTTTGATGTCTCTGTGAACTGATTTAATGTGGTATAGAAAGATGGTCCCGTTACTTTAGAGGTGGTTAGATATCTCTGTATAATGCCTGTATATAATAACTCTTACGTGATATAGAAAGATGGTCCCATTACTTTAGGGGTAGTTAGATATCTCTGTATAACACCTATATATAATAACTCCTATATGATACAGAAAAATGTTCTCATTACTTTAGAGGTAGTTAGATATCTCCATATAATGCCTGTATATAATAACTCTTATGTGATATAGAAAGATGGTCTCATTACTTTGGGAGTAGTTATAAATCTCCCTATAATGCCTGTATATAATACTCATATGTGATATAAAATGATGGTCCCATTACTTTAGGGGTACTTGGAAATCTCTGTATAATGCCGACATATAATTCTCATGTGTGATGTAGAAAGATGGTCCCGTTACTTTAGGGGTAGTTACAGATCTCTGTAGAGCTCCTGTGTGTAATACCCATATACTATGCCTCTGTTGATTCAGATAGATCAATTACTTCATAGAATGAATCTGCGTGTCTATTTTTAGGTGGATGAGTTGCTATGTTTTACCATTACTATTCTTGCTACATTAGTTCAGCTTCTACAGGTAACCAAATGATTTTCATTATCGTATATTTATAATGTCTCATCCAGTTATTTTCTGGAATGAGAGTACAAATAAATGTATTTCTCAAGCTGAAAACATACTTGTTTCTCAGACAAAATCCACTGAGTTTGCACTTGCCATTAGTGAAAAATGCCGTAAAAACCCATACCCCTGCTGAGGCCTCGGAACCTGAGAGGTGTGGCCTGTCTCCTCTAAGCCGTTTATCATCCGTGGTCCACAGACACATCAGAGAGTCTCCAAACGCTTTCCTGATTGCTTCTCCCAAGTACCCCGGACAGGCACTGTTGTTGGCACCAGGGAACACCCCGGGGAACAGAGCAGATCCAACACCAGGCCCAGGAGAGTCGGCTCCCGGTGACGCCTGAGATGTCTGTGGACTCCAGGCAATACTTGTGCAAGAGGCCGTGGGGGCCAATGGGGCATGATAGTGTGACCTTCAAATTACCAGTGTGCACGGCACACGGAAGGAACACACAGTGTGACCACGTGATTGCCTGTGCATACGGGGGGAACACAGAGTGTGACTACGTGATTGCCAGTGCGTACAGGGGGAACACACAGTGTGGCTGCGTGATTGCCAGTGCGTACAGGGGGAACACACAGTGTGGCTGCGTGATTGCCAGTGCGTACAGGGGGAACACACAGTGTGACCGCGTGATTGCCAGTGCGTACGGGGGGAACACACAGTGTGACCGCGTGATTGCCAGTGCGTACAGGGGGAACACACAGTGTGGCTGCGTGATTGCCAGTGCGTACAGGGGGAACACACAGTGTGACCGCGTGATTGCCAGTGCGTACAGGGGGAACACACAGTGTGACCGCGTGATTGCCAGTGCGTACAGGGGGAACACACAGTGTGACCGCGTGATTGCCAGTGCGTACAGGGGGAACACACAGTGTGACCGCGTGATTGCCAGTGCGTACAGGGGGAACACACAGTGTGGCTGCGTGATTGCCAGTGCGTACAGGGGGAACACACAGTGTGGCTGCGTGATTGCCAGTGCACACGGGGGGAACACACAGTGTGGCCGCGTGATTGCCAGTGCGTACAGGGGGAACACACAGTGTGGCCGCGTGATTGCCAATGCACACGGGGGGAACACACAGTGTGGCCGCGTGATTGCCAGTGTGTACAGGGGGAACACACAGTGTGACCGCGTGATTGCCAGTGCGTACAGGGGGAACACACAGTGTGGCTGCGTGATTGCCAGTGCACACGGGGGGAACACACAGTGTGGCCGCGTGATTGCCAGTGTGTACAGGGGGAACACACAGTGTGACCGCGTGATTGCCAGTGCGTACAGGGGGAACACACAGTGTGACCACGTGATTGCCAATGCACACGGGGGGAACACACAGTGTGGCTGCGTGATTGCCAGTGCACACAGGGGGAACACACAGTGTGGCTGCGTGATTGCCAGTGCACACGGGGGGAACACACAGTGTGACCACGTGATTGCCAGTGCGTACAGGGGGAACACACAGTGTGACCACGTGATTGCCAGTGCGTACAGGGGGAACACACAGTGTGACCGCGTGATTGCCAGTGCGTACGGGGGGAACACACAGTGTGGCTGCGTGATTGCCAGTGCATACGGGGGGAACACAGAGTGTGACCGCGTGATTGCCAGTGCGCACAGGGGGAACACACAGTGTGGCTGCGTGATTGCCAGTGCGTACAGGGGGAACACACAGTGTGACCGCGTGATTGCCAGTGCATACAGGGGGAACACACAGTGTGACCGCGTGATTGCCAGTGCACACGGGGGGAACACACAGTGTGACCGCGTGATTGCCAGTGCACACGGGGGGAACACACAGTGTGACCGCGTGATTGCCAATGCACACGGGGGGAACACACAGTGTGACCGCGTGATTGCCAGTGCGTACAGGGGGAACACACAGTGTGGCTGCGTGATTGCCAGTGCGTACAGGGGGAACACACAGTGTGACCGCGTGATTGCCAGTGCGTACAGGGGGAACACACAGTGTGACCGCGTGATTGCCAGTGCGTACAGGGGGAACACACAGTGTGACCGCGTGATTGCCAGTGCGTACAGGGGGAACACACAGTGTGGCTGCGTGATTGCCAGTGCACACGGGGGGAACACACAGTGTGGCCGCGTGATTGCCAGTGCGTACAGGGGGAACACACAGTGTGGCCGCGTGATTGCCAGTGCGTACAGGGGGAACACACAGTGTGACCGCGTGATTGCCAGTGCATACAGGGGGAACACACAGTGTGACCGCGTGATTGCCAATGCACACGGGGGGAACACACAGTGTGACCGCGTGATTGCCAGTGCGTACAGGGGGAACACACAGTGTGGCTGCGTGATTGCCAGTGCGTACAGGGGGAACACACAGTGTGACCGCGTGATTGCCAGTGCGTACAGGGGGAACACACAGTGTGACCGCGTGATTGCCAGTGCGTACAGGGGGAACACACAGTGTGACCGCGTGATTGCCAGTGCGTACAGGGGGAACACACAGTGTGGCTGCGTGATTGCCAGTGCACACGGGGGGAACACACAGTGTGGCCGCGTGATTGCCAGTGCACACGGGGGGAACACACAGTGTGGCCGCGTGATTGCCAGTGTGTACAGGGGGAACACACAGTGTGACCGCGTGATTGCCAGTGCGTACAGGGGGAACACACAGTGTGGCTGCGTGATTGCCAGTGCACACGGGGGGAACACACAGTGTGGCTACGTGATTGCCAGTGCACACGGGGGGAACACACAGTGTGGCCGCGTGATTGCCAGTGCACACGGGGGGAACACACAGTGTGGCCGCGTGATTGCCAGTGCGTACAGGGGGAACACACAGTGTGGCTGCGTGATTGCCAGTGCACACGGGGGGAACACACAGTGTGACCGCGTGATTGCCAGTGCGTACAGGGGGAACACACAGTGTGGCTGCGTGATTGCCAGTGCACACGGGGGGAACACACAGTGTGGCTACGTGATTGCCAGTGCACACAGGGGGAACACACAGTGTGGCTGCGTGATTGCCAGTGCGTACAGGGGGAACACACAGTGTGACCGCGTGATTGCCAGTGCGTACAGGGGGAACACACAGTGTGACCGCGTGATTGCCAGTGCGTACAGGGGGAACACACAGTGTGACCGCGTGATTGCCAGTGCGTACAGGGGGAACACACAGTGTGGCTGCGTGATTGCCAGTGCACACGGGGGGAACACACAGTGTGGCCGCGTGATTGCCAGTGTGTACAGGGGGAACACACAGTGTGGCTGCGTGATTGCCAGTGCACACGGGGGGAACACACAGTGTGGCTGCGTGATTGCCAGTGCGTACAGGGGGAACACACAGTGTGACCGCGTGATTGCCACTGCGTACAGGGGGAACACACAGTGTGACCACGTGATTGCCAGTGCGTACAGGGGGAACACACAGTGTGACCGCGTGATTGCCAGTGCGTACAGGGGGAACACACAGTGTGGCTGCGTGATTGCCAGTGCGTACAGGGGGAACACACAGTGTGACCGCGTGATTGCCAGTGCGTACAGGGGGAACACACAGTGTGACCGCGTGATTGCCAGTGCGTACAGGGGGAACACACAGTGTGGCTGCGTGATTGCCAGTGCACACGGGGGGAACACACAGTGTGGCTGCGTGATTGCCAGTGCATACGGGGGGAACACAGAGTGTGACCGCGTGATTGCCAGTGCGCACAGGGGGAACACACAGTGTGGCTGCGTGATTGCCAGTGCGTACAGGGGGAACACACAGTGTGGCTGCGTGATTGCCAGTGCATACGGGGGGAACACACAGTGTGGCTGCGTGATTGCCAGTGCATACGGGGGGAACACAGAGTGTGACCGCGTGATTGCCAGTGCGCACAGGGGGAACACACAGTGTGGCTGCGTGATTGCCAGTGCACACGGGGGGAACACACAGTGTGGCCGCGTGATTGCCAGTGCATACAGGGGGAACACACAGTGTGGCCGCGTGATTGCCAGTGCGTACAGGGGGAACACACAGTGTGGCTGCGTGATTGCCAGTGCACACGGGGGGAACACAGAGTGTGACCGCGTGATTGCCAGTGCGTACAGGGGGAACACACAGTGTGGCTGCGTGATTGCCAGTGCGTACAGGGGGAACACACAGTGTGACCGCGTGATTGCCAGTGCGTACAGGGGGAACACACAGTGTGACCACGTGATTGCCAATGCACACGGGGGGAACACACAGTGTGGCTGCGTGATTGCCAGTGCACACAGGGGGAACACACAGTGTGGCTGCGTGATTGCCAGTGCACACGGGGGGAACACACAGTGTGACCACGTGATTGCCAGTGCGTACAGGGGGAACACACAGTGTGACCACGTGATTGCCAGTGCGTACAGGGGGAACACACAGTGTGACCGCGTGATTGCCAGTGCGTACAGGGGGAACACACAGTGTGGCTGCGTGATTGCCAGTGCATACGGGGGGAACACACAGTGTGACCGCGTGATTGCCAGTGCGCACAGGGGGAACACACAGTGTGGCTGCGTGATTGCCAGTGCATACAGGGGGAACACACAGTGTGGCCGCGTGATTGCCAGTGCACACGGGGGGAACACACAGTGTGGCCGCGTGATTGCCAGTGCACACGGGGGGAACACACAGTGTGACCACGTGATTGCCAGTGCGTACAGGGGGAACACACAGTGTGGCTGCGTGATTGCCAATGCACACGGGGGGAACACACAGTGTGGCCGCGTGATTGCCAGTGCACACGGGGGGAACACACAGTGTGACCGCGTGATTGCCAGTGCGTACAGGGGGAACACACAGTGTGGCTGCGTGATTGCCAATGCACACGGGGGGAACACACAGTGTGGCCGCGTGATTGCCAGTGCACACGGGGGGAACACACAGTGTGACCACGTGATTGCCAGTGCGCACAGGGGGAACACACAGTGTGGCCGCGTGATTGCCAATGCACACGGGGGGAACACACAGTGTGGCTGCGTGATTGCCAGTGCGTACAGGGGGAACACACAGTGTGACCACGTGATTGCCAGTGCGTACAGGGGGAACACACAGTGTGACCGCGTGATTGCCAGTGCGTACAGGGGGAACACACAGTGTGGCTGCGTGATTGCCAGTGCACACGGGGGGAACACACAGTGTGACCGCGTGATTGCCAGTGCGTACAGGGGGAACACACAGTGTGGCTGCGTGATTGCCAGTGCGTACAGGGGGAACACACAGTGTGGCTGCGTGATTGCCAATGCACACGGGGGGAACACACAGTGTGGCCGCGTGATTGCCAGTGCGTACAGGGGGAACACACAGTGTGACCGCGTGATTGCCAGTGCGTACAGGGGGAACACACAGTGTGACCACGTGATTGCCAGTGCGTACAGGGGGAACACACAGTGTGGCCGCGTGATTGCCAGTGCACACGGGGGGAACACACAGTGTGGCTGCGTGATTGCCAGTGCACACGGGGGGAACACACAGTGTGGCCGCGTGATTGCCAGTGCACACGGGGGGAACACACAGTGTGGCTGCGTGATTGCCAGTGCACACGGGGGGAACACACAGTGTGACCACGTGATTGCCAGTGCGTACAGGGGGAACACACAGTGTGACCACGTGATTGCCAGTGCGTACAGGGGGAACACACAGTGTGACCGCGTGATTGCCAGTGCGTACAGGGGGAACACACAGTGTGGCTGCGTGATTGCCAGTGCACACGGGGGGAACACACAGTGTGACCGCGTGATTGCCAGTGCGTACAGGGGGAACACACAGTGTGGCTGCGTGATTGCCAATGCACACGGGGGGAACACACAGTGTGGCCGCGTGATTGCCAGTGCGTACAGGGGGAACACACAGTGTGACCGCGTGATTGCCAGTGCGTACAGGGGGAACACACAGTGTGACCGCGTGATTGCCAGTGCGTACAGGGGGAACACACAGTGTGGCCGCGTGATTGCCAATGCACACGGGGGGAACACACAGTGTGGCTGCGTGATTGCCAGTGCACACGGGGGGAACACACAGTGTGACCGCGTGATTGCCAGTGCGTACAGGGGGAACACACAGTGTGACCGCGTGATTGCCAGTGCGTACAGGGGGAACACACAGTGTGGCTGCGTGATTGCCAGTGCGTACAGGGGGAACACACAGTGTGACCGCGTGATTGCCAGTGCATACAGGGGGAACACACAGTGTGACCGCGTGATTGCCAGTGCGTACGGGGGGAACACACAGTGTGGCTGCGTGATTGCCAGTGCGTACAGGGGGAACACACAGTGTGACCGCGTGATTGCCAGTGCATACAGGGGGAACACACAGTGTGACCGCGTGATTGCCAGTGCGTACAGGGGGAACACACAGTGTGACCACGTGATTGCCAGTGCGTACAGGGGGAACACACAGTGTGACCGCGTGATTGCCAGTGCGTACAGGGGGAACACACAGTGTGGCTGCGTGATTGCCAGTGCACACGGGGGGAACACACAGTGTGGCCGCGTGATTGCCAGTGCACACGGGGGGAACACACAGTGTGGCTGCGTGATTGCCAGTGCACACGGGGGGAACACACAGTGTGACCACGTGATTGCCAGTGCGTACAGGGGGAACACACAGTGTGACCGCGTGATTGCCAGTGCGTACAGGGGGAACACACAGTGTGGCTGCGTGATTGCCAGTGCACACGGGGGGAACACACAGTGTGACCGCGTGATTGCCAGTGCGTACAGGGGGAACACACAGTGTGGCTGCGTGATTGCCAATGCACACGGGGGGAACACACAGTGTGGCCGCGTGATTGCCAGTGCGTACAGGGGGAACACACAGTGTGACCGCGTGATTGCCAGTGCGTACAGGGGGAACACACAGTGTGACCACGTGATTGCCAGTGCGTACAGGGGGAACACACAGTGTGGCCGCGTGATTGCCAGTGCACACGGGGGGGAACACACAGTGTGGCTGCGTGATTGCCAGTGCACACGGGGGGAACACACAGTGTGACCGCGTGATTGCCAGTGCGTACAGGGGGAACACACAGTGTGACCGCGTGATTGCCAGTGCGTACAGGGGGAACACACAGTGTGGCCGCGTGATTGCCAATGCACACGGGGGGAACACACAGTGTGGCTGCGTGATTGCCAGTGCACACGGGGGGAACACACAGTGTGACCGCGTGATTGCCAGTGCGTACAGGGGGAACACACAGTGTGACCGCGTGATTGCCAGTGCGTACAGGGGGAACACACAGTGTGGCTGCGTGATTGCCAGTGCATACGGGGGGAACACACAGTGTGGCCGCGTGATTGCCAGTGCGTACAGGGGGAACACACAGTGTGACCGCGTGATTGCCAGTGCGTACAGGGGGAACACACAGTGTGACCACGTGATTGCCAGTGCGTACAGGGGGAACACACAGTGTGGCCGCGTGATTGCCAGTGCACACGGGGGGAACACACAGTGTGGCTGCGTGATTGCCAGTGCACACGGGGGGAACACACAGTGTGGCCGCGTGATTGCCAGTGCGTACAGGGGGAACACACAGTGTGACCGCGTGATTGCCAGTGCGTACAGGGGGAACACACAGTGTGACCACGTGATTGCCAGTGCGTACAGGGGGAACACACAGTGTGGCCGCGTGATTGCCAGTGCACACGGGGGGAACACACAGTGTGGCCGCGTGATTGCCAGTGCGTACAGGGGGAACACACAGTGTGACCGCGTGATTGCCAGTGCGTACAGGGGGAACACACAGTGTGACCACGTGATTGCCAGTGCGTACAGGGGGAACACACAGTGTGGCCGCGTGATTGCCAGTGCACACGGGGGGAACACACAGTGTGACCACGTGATTGCCAGTGCGTACAGGGGGAACACACAGTGTGACCACGTGATTGCCAGTGCGTACAGGGGGAACACACAGTGTGACCGCGTGATTGCCAGTGCGTACAGGGGGAACACACAGTGTGGCTGCGTGATTGCCAGTGCACACGGGGGGAACACACAGTGTGACCGCGTGATTGCCAGTGCGTACAGGGGGAACACACAGTGTGGCTGCGTGATTGCCAATGCACACAGGGGGAACACACAGTGTGGCCGCGTGATTGCCAGTGCACACGGGGGGAACACACAGTGTGACCACGTGATTGCCAGTGCGTACAGGGGGAACACACAGTGTGACCACGTGATTGCCAGTGCGTACAGGGGGAACACACAGTGTGACCGCGTGATTGCCAGTGCGTACGGGGGGAACACACAGTGTGGCTGCGTGATTGCCAGTGCATACGGGGGGAACACAGAGTGTGACCGCGTGATTGCCAGTGCGCACAGGGGGAACACACAGTGTGGCTGCGTGATTGCCAGTGCGTACAGGGGGAACACACAGTGTGACCGCGTGATTGCCAGTGCGTACAGGGGGAACACACAGTGTGGCTGCGTGATTGCCAGTGCATACGGGGGGAACACAGAGTGTGACCGCGTGATTGCCAGTGCGTACAGGGGGAACACACAGTGTGGCTGCGTGATTGCCAGTGCGTACAGGGGGAACACACAGTGTGACCGCGTGATTGCCAGTGCGTACAGGGGGAACACACAGTGTGACCGCGTGATTGCCAGTGCGTACAGGGGGAACACACAGTGTGACCGCGTGATTGCCAGTGCGTACAGGGGGAACACACAGTGTGGCCGCGTGATTGCCAGTGCGTACAGGGGGAACACACAGTGTGGCCGCGTGATTGCCAGTGCACACGGGGGGAACACACAGTGTGGCTGCGTGATTGCCAGTGCACACGGGGGGAACACACAGTGTGACCACGTGATTGCCAGTGCGTACAGGGGGAACACACAGTGCGGCTGCGTGATTGCCAATGCACACGGGGGGAACACACAGTGTGGCCGCGTGATTGCCAGTGCACACGGGGGGAACACACAGTGTGACCGCGTGATTGCCAGTGCGTACAGGGGGAACACACAGTGTGGCTGCGTGATTGCCAATGCACACGGGGGGAACACACAGTGTGACCGCGTGATTGCCAATGCACACGGGGGGAACACACAGTGTGGCCGCGTGATTGCCAGTGCACACGGGGGGAACACACAGTGTGACCACGTGATTGCCAGTGCGCACAGGGGGAACACACAGTGTGGCCGCGTGATTGCCAGTGCGTACAGGGGGAACACACAGTGTGACCGCGTGATTGCCAGTGCGTACAGGGGGAACACACAGTGTGACCACGTGATTGCCAGTGCGTACAGGGGGAACACACAGTGTGACCGCGTGATTGCCAGTGCGTACAGGGGGAACACACAGTGTGGCTGCGTGATTGCCAGTGCACACGGGGGGAACACACAGTGTGACCGCGTGATTGCCAGTGCGTACAGGGGGAACACACAGTGTGGCTGCGTGATTGCCAATGCACACGGGGGGAACACACAGTGTGGCCGCGTGATTGCCAGTGCGTACAGGGGGAACACACAGTGTGACCGCGTGATTGCCAGTGCGTACAGGGGGAACACACAGTGTGACCACGTGATTGCCAGTGCGTACAGGGGGAACACACAGTGTGGCCGCGTGATTGCCAGTGCACACGGGGGGAACACACAGTGTGGCTGCGTGATTGCCAGTGCACACGGGGGGAACACACAGTGTGACCGCGTGATTGCCAGTGCGTACAGGGGGAACACACAGTGTGACCGCGTGATTGCCAGTGCGTACAGGGGGAACACACAGTGTGGCCGCGTGATTGCCAATGCACACGGGGGGAACACACAGTGTGGCTGCGTGATTGCCAGTGCACACGGGGGGAACACACAGTGTGACCGCGTGATTGCCAGTGCGTACAGGGGGAACACACAGTGTGACCGCGTGATTGCCAGTGCGTACAGGGGGAACACACAGTGTGGCTGCGTGATTGCCAGTGCATACGGGGGGAACACAGAGTGTGGCCGCGTGATTGCCAGTGCGTACAGGGGGAACACACAGTGTGGCTGCGTGATTGCCAGTGCGTACAGGGGGAACACACAGTGTGACCGCGTGATTGCCAGTGCGTACAGGGGGAACACACAGTGTGGCTGCGTGATTGCCAGTGCGTACAGGGGGAACACACAGTGTGACCGCGTGATTGCCAGTGCACACGGGGGGAACACACAACTGCGCTTTGGGAAGGACCGACTGGTCGAGGGGAGGAACCATGAATGGTCATTTAAAACCATTTTAAACCTTTTTATTAAACAAAAAAAGCAGAAATCACAAAAAAAGGAAAAGCAAAAGTCAAAGTTATACAACACAAAGTTGAAGTTTTCAAAACCTGAAAATGGAGTGTGTGTATTGAAGGGAGTTTCATATCTTTCATAAATGATCACTAATGCAGAAAATTTCACCTTCAATTACTATCAGTGTATTCATCAGGCGTTTTGGAATTCGGTTTATCTTAAATGCCTTCTATGTTTGTAGGTTTTTTTCTTTGAATTAGAACATTTTAAGGTATGTATACCTGTATGAAAATAGACGCATGACAAACACGTCATAAATAGAAGATGTCTTCACTCTAAAGATGCACACAGGTTTTTAAGTTACTATAAGTTTTTACTAGTTACCTACTCAGGTAGCAAGTTAATAGGACCACAATCAAGATTGTCTACTTTTGAAAATATCAACCAGGTAGACAATTATGGGACAAAATGACGTCCCCAAAGGACGTGGGGCTGTGGTGTGGTGAGACTCGTCGGAGACGCTGGACACCAGTGCTGATGCCAATGGAAAGAAAGGGCGTGGGGGGCTGTGGGTTTCCTCATGTTATGACCACGGTTTCCTGGGGGTGCAGCGCGTTCTCTGATGCTCTGACCACGGGTTCCTACATGGGGTGTGTTTTCTTCATCATCGTGGGCCCTGTGTTTTAAGTTCTATAACCAACATTTCCATGGAGTCTCTTTCATACTCAAAACCCATGTTTACATTTGTAAAAGAAAAGTTACAGTTATCTATTTAAACCTTCCAGTGGATAATAATGAAACTCTTTAAAACACAAGCCACTAGGCAGAAAGTCCACACCGAGGTGCTGGGGTCGCCTCAGAAGCTGACAATGCCAGGAGCTCCGTCCAGCCCAGCAAACTGAGGCAGGAGGCTGGGTTTCAGGTCCTGACCGGCTCAGAGAGAGGGCGGCTTCCAGTCTGGGTTCGTTTCTCGCTGAGAATGTACTGTGGATGCAAGGTTGGTACGGGGTGAACAGATGCTTAATTCACTGGGGCCCCTTCCCTGGGCAGGAGGCCCACGAGGCTGAGGAAGTCAATGAATAAGGACAACCACCTAGCGAACAAAACCCAGCCAGAACCAAAGCAAATGAAAGCAGCCTTCCGTGTCGCTGGTGCTCTAGTGGGTGGAAATTACTAGCAGCTTCTTGCATATGGTTGACTTTTGTGCTTAATATCTGGTGTTTTCTACTTTTGGGATTTTGTCCTTGGATGCCATGCAGAGGTCGTGCTGGAGTGGATAATCCCAGCTCCACGCCCGTGCCCCACATCGAGGTGACTTTGGGTGTGAACGAGGCAATGGAATGCTAGACTGACGTCTTCATGCTGCTGACCAACAGCTTCCCAGCGATGGCAATGGTGGGACAGGGGTCATTCCGTGGAGAGTCGGGGCGGGTGCTGTGTTTTCAGAGGTCACAGCCGCCACCGCCCTGCTCCGAGCTCCAGGTTTGGGATGGTGTCACCGAAGAGAACTCGGCCTCTGCGAAGGGCTGTGCGGGGAGATGCGGTGGAGAGGAAGAGCCGCCGGGGTGTTGAGAAACGATGATTTCAAAAACTTCTGCTGAAAGTGAGGAATGCATAAGAAGTGGGTGGTTTTCAGTTCTGCTCTTCATGGCTCCCACACTGCTGGTTACGGCCCATTTCCATCTTTCTTTTTTATTTGTTTATTTATTTTTTTGAGACGGAGTCTCGCACTGTCGCCCAGGCTGGAGGGCAGGGGCGCGATCTCAGCTCACTGCAAGCTCGGCCTCCCGGGTTCAAGCCATTCTCCCGCCTCAGCCTCCCCAGTAGCCAGGGTTACAGGTGCCCGCCACCACGCCCGGCTAAGTTTTTGTATTTTTAGTAGAAACGGGGTTTCACCGTGTTAGCCGGGATGGACTTGATCCCTGACCTCGTGATCCGCCCGCCTCAGCCTCCCAAAGTGCTGAGATTAATAGGCATGAGCCACTGCGCCCGGCCCTTCCATTTCCATGTTTCTTACACTGAGCCCTTGGTGAAATATTTTTCATTTACGTAGCTTTCTCATCTAAATCATTCCAACTCTCCTGCCAACATTGCATTAGCGTGACCTTCCTCTTCTGAGATCGTCATGGAGCAGTAGAACCTTTTCTACCTAATTTTAACCTCAGAATCGCAGTGTTGGGGGGAGTTTTGGGGGGAGTGAAAAGCCGTCTTAGCCTCAGTCAGGCTCTGCTTCTAACACGTCTACAACATTCCCGTCAGTAGTTGGACTAAGATTGATTAAAGCAAAACAAACAGAACACCGTTTTGAAACAGGGATGACGGCTGCATGTCGGGGGAGCCTCCCTCACCGCCTCGGGCTGGGCCACGCAGACCCCGGCCAGGACTGCCCGACCTGGTCCCCGGGGCGATGGATGGAGAGAGGACTCTACACTGCTAGGTGAGTAGATCTCAGAGGCTCCACAGAGAAGGGGGAGCCGCGGCCTGTGCAGCGAGTGGAGTCTCAGGGATCCCGCCTGGAGCCTGCGGTGGGGTCGGGCAGGCCTGGGGGGTCTTCGTGGCCCAGCCCGAGGTGGCCGGGGAGGCTCTCCAGGGATGCAGCCATCGTCCCTGTTGCAGTGCAGTTTTCTGTTTGTTTTGATCAAATCCTGGACCAGCAACCGACAGGAGAGCATCTGGGGGTGCGCGTGGGACGTGCCTAGCCCCTGCCAGCCCGGGCAGACTCCGCACATCTGCAGGACACACTGCGTGTCGTTACAGGCAGCTGCAGGCCTCTCTGGGGGGCGTGGGGTGCCCTGCACCCCTCCATCCTTCTGCGGGGCTCCCCTCCTTCCATGCCCTGGGCTTCATGCCCCGTCAGGGGACACCCATGGGTCCCACCCAGAGCTCCGCCTTTCGCATCCCCAGAGACGGCTAGTGTCTTGCTCCTCTCGAACCCAGCAGTGCTGCGTCCTGCCTTCCAGCCCGCATGGAGCGGATGAGCTGAGACAAGGGGCCGGATGCGAATCACAGCTGAAAAGACCGCTCCGGCCTGGTGGGCAGGATGTCTGCACTTTCACAAGACTTTTCAGCCACCTTGAAAAGGGATCCTGAGAATATTAGATCCTATTGCAGGGTTACGGGTGGGAAATTGTTTTAGGAACTCCCGATTCCCTGATTCTCAGAAAGTCAAGCTGAACCTCCTGCCGACAGGAAAGTTTGTGCGCAGCTGAGCTTGGCGAGGCTGCCAGGCCCCGCGTTCCAGAGAGAGGCAGGTCAGGGCCTGGCTGCCCTGCAGCTGCCCCAGAAAATCCGCAATGGAAATTTGCCTCTCAGTACTGAGGACATTGCTCTCACATGCGGTGAGTTTGTTTTCTGAAGAATCCATCCACTTTATCTGAGTGTTGAGTTCATGTGTGTGGAGTTGTCATGTTATTCCCTGTTTATCCTTTAGTGCCTGCAGTGTCTGCAGCAATGACCCATCTTTCTTTTCCAATGTTGGTAAACTGTGTCTCCCTCCCCTCCTTTTTTTATTCAATGGTAGTGTTAGAAGTTCATCAATTTTATTCAAATTTATTCAAAGAATTGGGTTTGGTGTCATTCATTTCTCTATTGTATTTTAAAATAATTTTGTTGTTTTTGATCTTACCTTTATTATTTCCCTACTCCTGCTTGGTTTTGATTCTTTTTGGTTTCCTTTTTCTACCTTTTAAAAAGTGGAAACCTACATTATTGAGAACTTTCTATCTTTTTAGTATAATCTCTATTAATAGAACAGTGTTACCATTCCTGACTGTGGACTTTTGTCCATTTCTATTTTGGGTTTTTAAAATTTTTGTTTCAAGTGTTTTAGAGTTCTGGCACTTGGTGAATTCACGTGTAGGACTGTTGTTTTCTTGACCCTTTTGTCATTATTTATTTCTTCTCTTTATCCCTGGTGATTTTGTTTGCTGCAAAGCCTACTTTGCCTGATACTAACGTGGCTTATCCTGCTGTCTTCGATGAGGGTTTGCATGGTGTTTGCTTCACTTTTCATCTTTTGATTTTCATTCTATCTCTATCATTCTATTTGGGGTGATTTAATTTTACACAGTGCATCGCTGTCCAGGAAATAAAATGTACATCGTTAACTTTTCACACTTTGCCTGGAACCCATATTTGCTAGTTGGAATTTGTGAATCCATCTTCATGTAGGTCTCCTTCACCTGCCCCTCCGGTGACAGGAGAGTTATGAGCTAGGTCTGCTCACTGAGTCTCCACGAGAAAATATTCTCATTTAAAACATTCCTTTCTCATGTTTTTCTCTGTTGTTAAGATTGGATAATTTCCATTTAGCTATATTCAAATCCACAGACTCTTTGTTCCATTCTGATATTTCTTTACCTTCTGCTGTAAGTCCCATCCAGTGAGGATCTTTCTTTTAATATTGCCCCTCCATTCTAAGATGTCCATTTGTTTTGTATTTACATCTTCTAGTTCCTTCGTGAGATTTTCTCTGTTCCCATTGGATTCAAGAGTGTTTGTGACTATGGGCGGAGTGATTTTCATGTTTCTGTCAGCAGATCACACAGCTCAGTCATCTTAGCATGGGCATGGGCTGGCTGGCTCCTGTGTGAGTTATTTTCCTGGTTCTTCATATCCTAGTAAGGTTGAATTGCATTCTGGACACCATGAATATTATGTTAGGAGACTCTGCATCTTATTTCATTCCAGTGAAGAATGTTGATTTAGTGTTTGTTTTAGTGAGCATTAACCTGATTAAATTCAGGCTGCAAGTTTCAATAACATTTTGTGGTCTAGGCTTCCACAGCCAGTTCCTTTCTGAAAGCCTTCAGTACTGTTTGCAACTGCCCTGAGTGTGCACCGCCAGGGTCTAGGCTGAGGTCTGTTCATGAGCTCAAATACATGTGAGCAACTCAGGGCAGCCCAGGAGGCCACACGCCACTTACCAAGACTCTCCCTCTCTCGAATCTCCCTCAAATGTCCTCTCTCCCTGGGACCCCTCATTTTTGTTCTTGAGCTAGAAAGCCGGGGATTTAGTTACCTCCTGAGCTGTGCACTCCCACAGCTGAGCCAGGCCTGGGCCAAGTGCTGGGCAGACGGAGGGAGAAAGAAGCAGTGGGTCTGGCCCCATCTTGCTGGAGCCCCACATGGAGAGGAGGTTCCCCTGTGGGGCTGGGTCCTGCCCTCTGCCATTGTTGGCACAGTTGCTGCCACAGACCCAGGTGATTGCCGAGGGCAGGGGGCAGAGGGAAGGGTGTGGGGAGGGTGGGGTGTCTGCCCTTCCCCTTAAGTCCTCTCTCTGTGGCCCCAAGCTCAGACTGTGTGGTCCTTCCTGGAGTGTCCTGCACGTGGCCCCTGAGCGCTTTTGGACCCTGCTGCCTCAATGCGGGCAGGGGATGCAGGAGGGAGGCAGGAGGGGACGCAGGTGCACCCTCTGCCTGGTCACTGCTTCTTGTGTTCTGCACCATTGTTCTTTCCGGAGTCTGTGGTCAGGGACTACCTGGGAGAAGCAGGTGGCATGTCTCCCCTCCTCAACCAGGAATAGAAGCTCCCTGAGCAGGGCCTTCGCAGTGAGGACTCCATAGGGCTCTGGCCGCAGACCTGCCTCAGCTTGCTTGTATGTTCGGTCCTAATGCTCAGGAACGAAACTCGCTTGGATATTTATGCAAACTTTTGTCCCTAGAGTCGTGCAGCTTCAACCACTGCGTACTTTTCATGGAGTCCTTGTTCACATGCATTAGTTTCCTTTTCTAATATTTATACTTTCATGGTACATTAAAATTTGTTCTGTAATGTTTCTATCCCCTAAAAATGTCTTTAAAAAATGAAATTAGATACATATAAAATACCGACGCTTCTTCAGTTATGTCTTAGCCCGTCCGCGTGATCACGAGCTGGGATGGGTCAGCTCATGCGGTGCTGAGGAACCACATGGCTTAAGAGTTGTGACGATCTTCAGGACTTTGTTATGTGGAAGATGGTTTCTGTTTCTACTTTGAATATGAATGTACATTGGTAGGAACAGGACGGGAATGCCACCTCGTGGCATGTCACTATGTGTTAAGAATTCTAAGATGTATGGTCCCGTGAAGAACTTCCAAAGGGATGGCTCACTGACTGACGGTTCCTGACCGCGTTTCACTGCTTCAGGGATGGTTCTGCTGCATTGGTCTTTCCTCGTGGATGATGGCCAGGATTTCACCCCAGTGCAACGTACTGAAGCCCCACTCCTCTGACTTCAGAGCTGTCCAGGGTCCAGCCAATGAGGCAGCTGCCAAGAGGTACCACATACAGGTTGAAAGCACCTTTTTTCAAGGAACTTACAGGACAGCTCCGGGAACTGAGGCCTACACAACAATGGAGAATTCAGGCTTTGTTTCACTTTCTTAAAAAAGAAGTCCAATTAGATGTATGAGTATGACCATGACCATGCATAAATATAACTAATTTCTGAAAGTGCTGCATACGTGAGTGCTGGTTCTCGGGTGCCAGTACAACGCCACGTGTGTGAGGCTGTCAACACTAGGAAGAAGAAAGACACTCCCAAAATACAAGTCAGAACAGGGGCAAGCGCTGGAGGAGACCAGTGAAAGGCCACCCGCCACCCCCAGAGCCTGGTAGAAAGCAGCTTGCCCAGGAGGGGTGGCCGGGTTCTGTGCCAGCTTCCCGGGGCTACTTAACAGTGCTCCAGAGACTGGGGCTTCAACAACAGAAACCTATTGTCTCACAGTTCTGGAGGCCAGAAGTCTCTGAGATCAAGGTTAGCCGGAGGTGGTGGCAGGTGCCTGTAGTTCCAGGTACTCAGGAGGCTGAGGCAGGAGAATCGCTTGAACCTGGGAGGTGGTGGAGGTTGCAGTGAGCCGAGATCACACCACTGCACTCCAGCCTGGGCAACAGAGTGAGAATCCGTCCACAAAAAAAAAAAAAAAAAAAAAAAAGGAGGTTCCAAGTACTATGAAGAAAAATAAAGCAGACTGGACTTGGTGGCTTATGCCTGTCATCCCAACACTTTGGGAGGCTGAGGTGGGAGGATTGCTTGAGACCAGCCAGGGCAACGTGGCAAAATCCTGTCTCCAAAAAAAAAAAAAAAAGTTTAGCTGGGTGTGGTGGCATGTGCCTGTAGTCCCAGCCACTGGGGAGGCTGAGGAGGAAGGATTGCTGGATCCCAGAAGGTGAAGGTTGAAGTGAGCCAAGATTACACCATTGCACTCCAGCCTGGGTGACAGAGCCAGACCCTGTCTCAGAAAAAAAAGAAAGAGAAGAAAAAAAAGAAGAAAGAAAGAAAAAAGAAAGAAAGAAAAAAAGAAAGAGAAAGCAAGCAAGCAGAGATGGGGGCATGCAGGGGAGGGGCTGGGGACGCAGGGGAGGGGCTGGGGATGCAAGCTTCCCTGAGCTTCCACAGTTCTCTGCTCCTCTCCTGTCTCATGGGGCGTGGGACACCTGGGGCTTGCGGTTGTTTTGCGCCAAGCTAATATCTTGTTCTTCCCAACAGACGGAGGCCGATTGAGGCTTCTCTGTCCTCCACGGGGACCAGCATTGGCCTAAACCTGCAGACACCATTGCAAAGTCAGCTCAGGTGAACCCACTGGCAAAGGATTCCAGCGTGGAGACACAGAGGTTGACATTTCTTGCCGTGGGTGATTTAATGTTGGGCCTCAATTTTTCACTTCCCCCGCAAGAGTATGACACAGCCCCAGCCTTCCTAGGGCCCGAGGGAGGGTGGATGGACTTATCCATCCCATAGGTGCTGCTCGAGACTGGGTGACTTGCTTCTGCCAATGAGATTTTCACAGACATGGCACAAGCAGAAGCCTGGAATGTGTGGGCACTGCCAGGCCTGCCCTCTAAGGCTCTTGATTTTCCCCACGAGATGTGCGAGCCCCAGGGGAGGGTGGCTCTGGCTGTGGGATGAGAGGCGTGTGGAGCAGGCATGGTTCCCATCCTCAGCCTGGAGTCAAGGCCAGACTAGATCAGCCTGAGCCCAGCCACGCCACGGGTGCAGGAGTGAAGAGCAAATGCCAACGGTCCATGACAGTGACTTTCAAAGGGGCGTGTCGTGTGCCTCATCCCAGCAACAGGGAAGGCATTTCTCTATCAGTCAGTTGGTAAATGATTATTGACAATGTGTGGGAAGGTGGAGTGATTTGAGTAGATCTGGCCTCTACTCTCATGGAGCTTCCTTTCTAGAGGGAAAGGCAGATGTTGGATGGATAAATATAAATGATTCTAATAGGTTGGTGCAGCAGTCATGAAAAGTAATGGCAAAAAAAGAAACGGGGAGGAGCCGGTGCTGCGGTTCATTAATAGTAACGGCAAAAACCGCGATGACTTCTGCACCAACCTAACCCGGTAACCACGGGTGTGTGAATGTGGCGATGGGCAAGTTCCGAGAGCTAGGAGAGCATCTAGCTTCCTGGGAAGTTCCGAGAGCTAGGAGAGCATCTAGCTTCCTGGGAAGTTCCGAGTGGTAGGAGAGCATCTAGCTTCCCGGAGTCAGGAGACGGGGGTTGGCAACCTGACCAAGGCTAAGTCCAAGGGAGGGGGGTGGGCGGGGAGCGATATGTCAGTGGAGACTCCAAGGATGAATGGTATTTAGAGAGTAAACCCCAGTGGTGAGAGGGGGTGTGTGGCTGGCACAGAGAAGAGCCTGTGCAAAGGCCGGCGGGGCGAGAGGACACCGGGTGCTCTTCCACCTGAGGGGCGACCAGCAGGCTGGAGCTGAGCGAGCTGAGGATGCGGAGCCCGGGAAAGGCACCCCAGGCAGACGGCACAGCAGGGGAAAGGCTGGAGTCAGGCCTGAGCCTGTGTGGTTTGAAGAACTGACAGAGGCCTGTCCGGCAGAGGGGAGAGACCTTAGGCCAGAGTAGAGGGCAGGGCCGTGTTGGGCACTGTGGGCTTTGGATGGTGCTGGCATTTAAGAGGGGGGACCATAGACCAGGGCAGAGGGGAGAGGAGGACCTGGCTGGGCACCAGAGTGGAGACCATAGACCAGGGCAGAGGGGAGGGGAGGGCCGGGCTGGGCACCAGAGTGGAGACCATAGACCAGGGCAGAGGGCAGGGCCATGAGGGCACTGTGGGCTGTGGATGGAGCTGGCATTTAAGAGGGGAGACCATAGACCAGGGCAGAGGGCAGGGCCGTGCTGGGCACTGTGGGCTGTGGATGGGAGCTGCCATTTATGCTCGGGTGATGGGAATGTGTTAAAAGATTTTAAGGAAGGGAGTAACAGTTGGGATTAATGTGTATTCTGGGAATCTCAACAAAGTAAATTCATAGTTTGAATTTTCATAAGCCTTCTGCACAGGCAGAGAGAAATAAGATCGTGTCTACAGCTGTGTGATGATTATATTAAAAATATTACTAAGTTTTTAAACGTCATTTCAAATGGTGTGTTTCTATCTCACATTGGACAAAAGTAGATTGCAAGGTTAATGGAAAGTAGAAAAGTTAACTCATGAACGTAAGAGACATCGATTTGAAAACAAAACATTTATTCATTTACTTCTGCTGCAGTTTTCTTGACTGCTGAATTTCATGAGAAGGGATTGTTCAGGGAGGGTTGTGGGGCGGAAGACTTGGACGGCAGCTAGTGATTCCGCTGTTCAAACCTGAGGGTGGTGGAGCTGGAGCCTTGGGGAGGGGCCGATGCTGCCTTTTAAGTCTGAGAGTCGTTGAGCTGGACGTCCACGGAGGAGCTGGTGCTGCCACTGATGTCTTAGATTGTGGAGCTGAAGGCAATGAAGGAGCTGATGTGGCTGTTCCTCTGTGAGGGTCGTGGAGCTGGAGATCCAGGGGGAGAGGTGTCCTAGTTTGAGGTTCCTGCAGCTGCAGACCCAGAGAGGAGCTGGTGTTTCTTTTGTTTGAGGGTCGCACAGCTGTAGAACCCGGGAGGAGCTGGCGTTTTTCTAGTATTAGTGTCCTGCCACTGGAGAGGAGCTGATGTTCCAGGAAGCTGATGTTCCAGTTAGAGGGCCGTGCAGCTGGAGACCCGGCGGGGGAGCTGATGTTCCAGGAAGCTGATGTTCCAGTTTGAGGGCCGTGTAGCTGGAGGCGCGGTGGGGAGCTGATGTTCCAGTTAGAGGGCCGTGCAGCTGAAGACGCAGGGGGGAGCTGATGTTCCAGTTTGAGGGCCGTGCAGCTGGAGACCCGCGGGGGGAGCTGATGTTCCAATTTGAGGGCCGTGCAGCTGGAGACCCTGGGGAGAGCTGATGTTCTAGTTTGAGGGTCCTGCAGCTGGAGACCCGGGGGAGAGCTGATGTTCCAGTTTGAGGGCTGGGGAGCTGATGTTCCAGTTTGAGAGCCGGGAAGCTGATGATCCAGTTTGAGGGCCGTGAAGCTGGAGACCCTGGGAGGAGCTGATGTTCTAGTTTGAGGGTCATGCAGCTGGAGACCCTAGGGAGAGCTGATGTTCCCGTTTGAGGATTGGGGATCTGATGTTCCAGTTTGAGGGCTGGGGAGCTGATGATCCAGTTTGAGGGTCATGCAGCTGGAGACCCTGGGGAGGAGCTGATGTTCTAGTTTGAGGGTCATGCAGCTGGAGACCCTGAGGGGGAGCTGATGTTCCAGTTTGAGGGCCGTGCAGCTGGAGACCCTCGGGGGAGCTGATGTTCCTGTTTGAGGGCTGGGAAGCTGATGATCTGGTTTGAGGGCCGTGCAGCTGGAGACCCTCAGGGGAGCTGATGTTCCAGTTTGAGGGTCATGCAGCTGGAGACCCTGGGAGGAGCCGATATTCCAGTTTGAGGGCCGTGCAGCTGGAGACCCTGGGAGGAGCTGATGTTCTAGTTTGAGGGTCATGCAGCTGGAGACCCTAGGGAGAGCTGATGTTCCCGTTTGAGGATTGGGGATCTGATGTTCCAGTTTGAGGGCTGGGGAGCTGATGATCCAGTTTGAGGGTCATGCAGCTGGAGACCCTGGGGAGGAGCTGATGTTCTAGTTTGAGGGTCATGCAGCTGGAGACCCTGGGAGGAGCCGATATTCCAGTTTGAGGGCCGTGCAGCTGGAGACCCTGGGAGGAGCTGATGTTCTAGTTTGAGGGTCATGCAGCTGGAGACCCTAGGGAGAGCTGATGTTCCCGTTTGAGGATTGGGGATCTGATGTTCCAGTTTGAGGGCTGGGGAGCTGATGATCCAGTTTGAGGGTCATGCAGCTGGAGACCCTGGGGAGGAGCTGATGTTCTAGTTTGAGGGTCATGCAGCTGGAGACCCTAGGGAGAGCTGATGTTCCCGTTTGAGGGCTGGGGAGCTGATGATCCAGTTTGAGGGTCATGCAGCTGGATACCCTGGGGAGGAGCTGATGTTCTAGTTTGAGGGTCATGCAGCTGGAGACCCTCGGGGGAGCTGATGTTCCAGTTTGAGGGCTGGGGAGCTGATGTTCCAGTTTGAGGGCTGGGAGGCTGATGATCCAGTTTGAGGGCCGTGCAGCTGGAGACCGGGGGGGAGCTGATGTTCCAGTTTGAGGGTCATGCAGCTGGAGACCCTGGGGGGAGCTGATATTCCAGTTTGAGGGTTGGGGAGCTGATGTTCCAGTTTGAGGGCCAGGAAGCTGATGATCCAGTATGAGGGCAGTGCAGCTGGAGACCGGCGGGGAGCTGATGTTGCAGCTTGAGGGCCATGCAGCTGGAGACCCTGGGGGGAGTTGATGTTCCGGTTTGAGGGTCGTGCAGCTGGAGACCCGGGGTGGGAGCTGATGTTGCCGTTTGAGGGCCTTGCAGCTGGAGACCTGGAGGGAGCTGATGTTCTAGTTTGGGGGTCATGCAGCTGGAGACCCTGGGGGGAGCTGATGTTCCAGTTTGAGGGCTGGGGAGCTGATGTTCCAGTTTGAGGGCCGTGCAGCTGGAGACCCGGGGGGAGCTGATGTTTCGGTTTTAGGGCTGTGAAGCTGGAGACCCGGGGGGAGCTGATGTTTCGGTTTTAGGGCTGTGAAGCTGGAGACCCTGGGGGGAGCTGATGATCCAGTTTGAGGGCCTTCCAGCTGGAGACCCAGCAGGGAGCTGATGTTCCAGTTTGAGGGCCTTGCAGCTGGAGACTCTGGGGGGAGCTGATGTTCTAGTTTGAGGGTCATGCAGCTGGAGACCTCGGGGGAGCTGATGTTCCAGTTTGAGGGCCAGGAATCTGATGTTCCAGTTTGAGGGCCGTGCAGCTGGAGACCTGGGGGGGAGCTGATATTGCAGTTAGAGGGTGGTGCAGCTGGAGACCTGGGGGGGGAGCTGATGTTACAGTTTCCGGGTCATGCAGCTGGATATCCCAGGGGGAGCAGGTGTTTTTTAATTGGAGGGTCATGCTGTAGAACCTGGGAGGAGCTTGCCTCTTTCTTGTATGAGTGTCATACAGCTGGAGACCCGGAGTGGGGCTGATGTTCTAGTTTGCGAGTTGTGCAGCTGGAGACCCGGGGAGGAGCTGATGTTCCTGTTTGAGGGTCATGCAGCTGGAGACCCGGGGAGGAGCTGATGTTGTAGTTTGAGGGTTTTGCAACTGGAGACCTGGAGAGGAGCTGATGTTGTTCTAGTTTGAGGCTCCTGCATCTGGAGACTCAGGTAGCAGCTCATGTTTTCTGATCAAAAGGTCCTGGAGCTGGAGACACAGGGAGGAGCTGGTGCTGCTCTTGTTTAAGTCTGAGGGTCGTGGAGCTGG
This sequence comes from Homo sapiens, assembly GCF_000001405.40. NCBI lineage: Eukaryota > Metazoa > Chordata > Mammalia > Primates > Hominidae > Homo > Homo sapiens. The sequence goes on from NT_187523.1 coordinate 67,440, forward strand.
AGACCCGGGGATAAGCTGATGTTCTAGTTTGAGGCTCCTGAAGCTGGAGACCCAGGTAGGAGTTCATGTTTTTCTGATCAGAGGGTCATGGAGCTGGAGACATGGGGAGGAGCTGATGTTTTCCTAGTTTGAGGGTCGTGTCGCTGGAAACCCGGGGAGGAGCTGCTGGTGTTCTAGTTTGTGGGTTGTGGAGCCGGAGATCCGGGGAGGAGCTGGTGTTTTTCTCATGTGAGGTTTGTGGAGCTGGATACCCAGGGGAGGAGCTAGTGTTTTTCTAGTTTGAGGGTCGTGCAGCTGACCCTCAAATGACCTCAAACTAGAAAAACACTGACCCCCAAGGGTGTCCAGCTCCACGACCCTCAAACTAGAAAAACACCAGCTCCTCCCTGGGTGTCCAGCTCCACGACGCTCAAACTAGAAAAACACCAGCTCCTCCCTGGGTGTCCAGCTCCATGACGCTCAAACTAGAAAAACACCAGCTCCTCCCTGGGTGTCCAGCTCCACGATGCTCAAACTAGATTAAAATCAGCTCCTTCCCGGGTGTCCAGCTGCACGACCATCAAACTAGAAAAACCTGGGGAGTTTTTTTTTAGTTTGCTGCTGTTTTTCTAGTTTGAGGGTCATGTAGTTGGAGACCTGAGGAGGAGCTGATGTTCCAGATTGAGGGTCGTGGAGCTGGAGACCAGGGGAGGAGCTGGTGTTTTTTCTAGTTGGAGGATTGTGCAGCTGGAGACCCAGGGAGAAGCTGATGTTGTTTCAATTTGAGAGCCGTGGAGCTGGAGACCCGGAGAGGAGCTGATGGTGTTCTAGTTTGACAGTTGTAGAGCTGGAGACCCAGGGAGGAGCTGTTGTCTTTATAGTTTGAGTGTCATGCAGCTGGAGACCCTGGGAGGAGCTGATGTTCTAGTCTGAGAGTCGTGCAGCTGGAGACCCTGGGAGGAGCTGATGTTCTAGTCTGAGAGTCGTGCAGCTGGAGACCCTGGGAGGAGCTGATGTTCTAGTCTGAGAGTCGTGCGGCTGGAGACCCTGGGAGGAGCTGATGTTCTAGTCTGAGAGTCGTGCGGCTGGAGACCCTGGGAGGAGCTGATGTTCTAGTTTGACAGTCGTGCAGCTGGAGATCCAGGGAGGAGGTTGTCCTGTGGTTCAAATCTGAGGGTCCTGGAGCTGGAATCTATGGGAGAAGTTAGAGACCTGCAGAGGAGCCGGTGTTGGTGTTTCTAGTTGAGGGTCGTGGATCTGGAGATACAGCATGGAGTGGTGTTGTTCTAGTTGAGGGTCATGGAGCTAGAGACCCGGAGAGGAGCTGCTGTGTTTCTAGTTGAGGGTCATGGAGCTGGAGACCAGGGGAGGAACTGGTGTCTTTCTAGTTGAGGGTCGTGGATCTGGAGATACAGCATGGAGCGGTGTTGTTCTAGTTGAGGGTCGTGGAGCTGGAGACCCAGGGAGGAGCTGGCGTGTTTCTAGTTGAGGGTCGTGGAGCTGGAGACCTGGGGAGGAGCTGGTGTGTTTCTAGTTGAGGGTCGTGGTGCTGGAGACCCGGGGAGGAGCTGCTGTGTTTCTAGTTGAGGGTTGTTGTGGTGGAGACCCAGGAAGGAGCTGATGTTCCAGTTGAGGGTCGTGGAGCTGGAAACCCAGGGAGGAGCTGGTTCTTCTGTTGTTTAAGTCTGAAGATCGTCGAGTTGGAGATCCAGGGAAGAGCCAGTGCTGCGGTTCAAGTCTGAGGGTCTTGGAGCTTGAGCCCCCAGGAGGAGCCGGTGCTGCCACTAATGTCTTAGGTTGTAAAGCTGGAGACCCGCGGAGGAGCTGGTGTTGCTGTTCTAGTGGGAGGCTTGTGGAGCTGGAGACTGAGGGAGGAGCTGGTGTGTTTCTAGTTGGAGGGTCGTGCGGTTGGAGACCCGGGGAGGAGCTGATGTTTTCCTAGCTTGAGGGTCGTGGAGATATAGACCCACGGATGAGCTGGTGCTGCTGTTGTTTAAGTCTGAGGGTCATGGAGCTGGAGATCTGGGGAACAGCTGGTGCTGCGGTTCAAGTCTGAGGGTCTCAGAGCTGGAGCCCCCTGGGAGGAGTAGGTACTGCCACTGATGTCTTAGGTTTTGGAGCTGGAGACCTGTGGAGAAGCCAGGCTGGTGTTCTAGTTTGAGGTTTGTGGAGCTGGAATCCTGGTCAGGAGCCAGTGATGCTGTTTAAGTCTGAAGTTCATGGAGCTAAACGTGGAGCTGATGTTGGGGAAGTAGAGAGAGAGAGTTTCAGGACGCCGTGGAAACTGTACATGTAGCTGAATCCCAAGCAAGTTAAGCCTGGGAGCTTCTCAGTCCTCGGGATTAATGCATTCCTTTTTCTCTTACACAGTTTGGATTTGTTTTCTGTCTCATGAGACAGAAAGACCCTGATTAATACCCTCAGGAATTGAAAAGCTTAAAAAAACTAAATGATATTGGAATAATAATAATAGAAATTAAACTATGATTATCCTGACTGACAGAATCACACACCACACACAATATATATTTTCAATCAGTTAGTAAAATAATATATAAATTGAAACATAGACCCATGAAGAGCTGTAAAAAGTTATTTCATGGAGAAGTGATGGATGACAGAGATTAATCTGAGAGTTACTGTTAATGGAGAAACTTAGAACTTACCATTTTTCCTGTGAGGTTTCGGTGCTAATACTGATACTCTGTGAGTTCTGGCAGCTGAATCCATTCACATAGGCTGGTGATGCAGCAGGTGTCACAGAAGGACCCTGTCCCAGCTGGTCCTGCTCCACTGCTAGGATGGTGTGGCCTCTGATCTCTGACTGTGTCTTGAGGGGAGACCAGGCCCTTGATCACAAGCGTATCCATGGTGAGGTTCCGTGGATGGAACCTCATGGATGTTCCCTTCCTGATGTTCATTGGCCATCTTGCTATTTAATGCATCTTGTTAATAACTGTCTTCTAAACATTGAATAGAAATAAAGTATTTGTACAATATGGGTAAGGTATAAAGAATATTGACACATTGGACACAGAGGACCTCCACCAGGTTTAGGGAATAGAATCTGAAGAGACATAACTTTGGATGCTCCCTGGAGGCCCTGCCTGAGTCCCAGTCCCTTCTCTTCTCCTACAGAGGGAACCACTTCCTGCTTTAGTCTTTATTATTCCCACACTTTTCTTCATAGTACGTTTCTTTCACCGCGTATGTGTACATCCCTAAACAATAAGCCATTTAGTTTTTGAACTTTGTTTTCTTTTTGAGGCAGGGTCTTGCTCTGTTGCCTTGGCTGTAGTTTTGAACTTTGATGTGAGGAAATTCTCCTGCGTGGCTGCTCCTGCACTGCATGGCTCTGAGCATCTGCTCTATGTCTATTTCTGTCCTCCATTCTCTCCTTGAGACCCACCCACACTGACATGGTTCATTTTCATTGCTGCGTGATCTCCTGTCTCCATTCTCTCCCTGAGACCCACCCACACTGACATGGTCCATTTTCATTGCTGCATGGTCTCTCGTTGTCTGAGGGGAGCATGGGAAATGTCTTCATCTTCCCGTGGATGAGTGTTTGGCCAGGTTGGGGCCCTGAGGACTGCGTTTTGCTGGGAACATTCTTGGGCATTTCTTTTGTCCACAAGTGCAGGTTGCTTCTGGTCAGTAGCTTTCAAGTTTTAAAATTTCATCCCAGGTAAAAAATGTAATTTTCCTCATAACCCACAACACACATCCTTTCATATACAAGCATAACAAAAATATACTTCACAACCATTCTTAGCAGTGCCTGTTGTTCCTGCTTCTCTCCATTCTCCCCAACACCTGCATGGATTGGGTGGTGGGATTTTTGCCCATCTGGTGGGTGTCACGTGATATCTCCCCGTTAGGCTGAGCCCCTCTTCATGTTTTCATTAGTCATTCCTCCACATTTCCTCTTTTGTGGAGGGCCGGTTCAGCTCTTTTGCCCAGTTTCTGTTAAGTTGTTTGAATTTTTGCACTTTTCTTTTATTATTCCTATTGTTATGTGTTTGAGACACAGTCTCACTCTGTTGCCCAGGCTGGAGTACAGTGGCACAATCTCAGCTCACTGCAGCCTCCACCTTCTGGGTTCAAGTGATTTTCCTGCCTTAGCCTCCTGAGTAGCTGGGATTACAGGCGCCCACCACCACGCCTAGCTAATTTTTATATTTTTACTAGAGATGGGGTTTCACCATGTTGTCCAGGCTGGTCTCAAACTCCTGACCTCAGGTGATCCTCCCATCTCAGCCTCCCAAAGTGCTGGGATTACAGGCATGAGCCACCATGCCCGGCCTGCATTTTTCTTTTTCAAGAGGACTCTTTATAGATTATGCGTGCTCATTCTGGTGACTATGTGTGTGGCAAAGATGGGTTTGAATCCACCAGGATGAACGTGCAGGATATCCTCTCTGGTGGGAGAAGAGACAGAGAGGTGTAGACGGGTACAGAGAATCAGACCCGAGAGGAGGCCGAGTCAGGCGGGGGTTGCAGGCTGCTGTGAGGACTTGGCTCCTTCTCTGAGGCGGGTGGGATTAGCAGGGGATTTAAACGGAGGAACTGTGGGATCTCCCTTATGCATTTCTGCCATGGTTGGCTCAGCTGAACGCACCTCTTGAACAAGACTTGGCCTTGGACACCCAGAGGCCCTTGGTTGAGGGTTTACCTCCTGACATGGCCACTGACACATCCACGTTTGGCTCCCACAGGGCTGGGCGGCCCCAAGACCTGCTCTGCCTGGGCCTTTCATTGGTGGCATTTCTCAAGTTTGTCCCCTCTCAAGTCTGCTCCCTCTGGAAAACCAAACACCTCTCTCTCCCACATGGAAACCCCCATCAGCACCTCCCCCAACTCACAAGGCATCCCGTCAACATCACAGTCCCGACCTTCCCACACGGACAAGCTCACGGGACCCCCCGATGGACCAGGACAGCGTGAGCACTAAGACATGCCCTGAGACTCACAGGAAGAGCGGACCAAGAAGACGGGAACAGCACGGGGCCCTGGGAGCTGCAAATGCCCACGATACCGTGAGAGATGGAGAAAGGTATGACAGGAGGAGCAGACCAAGAAGACGGGAACAGCACGGGGCACTGGGAGCTGCAAATGCCCACGATACTGTGAGAGACGGAGAAAGGTATGACAGGAGGAGCAGACCAAGAAGACGGGAGCAGCACGGGGCACTGGGAGCTGCAAATGCCCACGATACCGTGAGAGACGGAGAAAGGTATGACAGGAGGAGCAGACCAAGAAGACAGGAGCAGCACGGGGCACTGGGAGCTGCAAACGCCCATGATACTGTGAGAGACGGAGAAAGGTATGGCCATGGCGGACACAAAATGTTACTCAACATTTATCACAGGCCTAAATGGAGAACATAACGCTATCAAACCCTTAGACAAAAACACAGGGGAAAATTCGTACGGCCTGGGGTTAGGCGAAAAGTTCTTAGACATGACACCAAAAGCATGATTCATAAAAGATTGACAAATTAAACTTAATCATACATTTAAAATTATAATTCTATAAAGCAATATAAAAATCCAAAGAGAATGAAACACAAACTATGGTCTAGAAATAAACATTTGTGAATCACACGTCTCACAGCCTACTGGCACGCAGGATATGTGAAGAACCATCAAAACTTAACCATAAGAAAGTAAAAGCCCCAGTATTAAAGAGAGGGCCAATATTGGAACGGAGGCCTCATCAAAGAAGGTATAAGGAGGGCATATTGCCCGAGAAAGAGGCTCAACGTCATAGAGATGCTGGAGAAATGCCAATCAACAGAACCTCTGCAAATCTATTAAAAGGGCTAAAAACAGACAAAAACCACAGGCCGACCCAGGTTCTAATGATGATGCAAAGGAACTGGGACCCTCATAAGCTGCATGGGAATGGGAGGGGCCCCACCATGCTGGAAAGTGGTCCAGGAGTTTCTTATTAAGTTAAGCACATCCTTACCACGTCACCCAGCAACCCCACTCCTGAAATTTCCCCCAAGAGAAAACTTAAATGTGCACACACAAACCTGCACACAAGTGTTTAGGCCTCATTCCTCATTGCCAATAACTGGAAGAAAACAAAATGTCCACCGGCAGGAGAAGGTGTGAACCAACGCGGATGCTTCCACATAGGGAGCACCAACCTGCAGTGGAAAGAAGCACCCACAATGCCCCAGGTCTCCCAGGCCACATGCCCGGTGAAGGAAGCTAGTTTCGGTGGGCACAGGCCGAAGGATGCCACCACGTGACATCTTAGAGAAGACAGTGTACCGTGTCGGGGAGCAGGGCAGTGGTTTCGAGAGGCTACGGGTGGAGGGGCGAATGGAGGAGCTCTCTGGGGAGATGGCGTGAGCACCTGAACCTCACTGTGGGCTGCTGCAGTTGAGAGGCTGTACAGCACACACTGGCTTCAGTACACACAGACTGAAGGAGGAAGGCTCCCACAACTCAAAGACAGAGGGTGTCACCTCCATGAAACAAAAACATATTAAAAAAAACTCCTAAAATTAAGAAAAAAACACAACAAGTATTTTATAAGCGCGTTGGACTTTGAGTTGACATAATCGACCTGGGAGCGTGGAACTGAAACCACAGGCTTGGCAATCCCGGAGGGAGAGAGTGGAGGGTTTAGACCTCAATTGAAGGGCTCAGTACCTGGCTATAGGAAATAACAGATTTAAAAAGCGGCAGGGAGGAAATAATTTCTGCTGATGAGGCTGCATTTCTCCAGATAGCCAGCAGAGTAAATTAAAGCAATATAGTAAAACAATGCACATCTTGACGGAAACTCACGATCACAAGGTTGTGGTGAAGGAGATTTGAAGATGTCCAGGAAAGAAAGACAAATGAGATGCATGTTGCAGCTGCCCTTCAAGGGGGGTGTGGGCCAGGTAGCCGTGATTCTCCGTGACGTTGCAGGAATTCTCCTGGCTGGGTCCTCAGGAGCCGTTTCTTCTTGTCCACACTCACCTCCGGGGGCTGGTATGGGTCCCTGGTGGTCATGACTGCACTCAGGGCCAGGGGCCTGCTGAGGCTGCTCTCCCTGTTCCCGAAACACAGGGGTTTGGTCCAGATCCCGCTGCTCACCACACAGAAAGCCTGTCACTGAGACGACGCTTACTGCCAATGAGGAAGGCATGCATCAGGAGCTGCAGGCCTGGAGATGGGAGGTCAGCTTCAAATCCATCTTCCTGACTGACTGTATAGCAGGGAAGAAGTGTGACTGTGTGTAAGGAAAACAGGAATTAGGGAGAGTGAGGAAGAGGAGTTGGTCAGGAGGAGGCAGGTGGCTGGTCAGGCACTCATGATGGGTGAGGGGTTTGGCGTCTCACTGTCCAGATGCCGTGATCTGGTGAGTCTCTCTTCCTTCACACTACCCGGGAGGCCTGATGGTCAGTTTCCTGAGAAAGGAACTCAAGACAAATGTCAAGTTCTCAAGTTTCAAGACCACAAGGATCCATTTCTATGTTATTCAGAGAAACCATGAACATCAGTTCTATGGGACAATCGGGCCAGTTCAACACCAGATCTGATCTGCCACGACACCTGCTGCTCGGCCCTCAGATAAAGCCCAGAGTCCAGTGTCCTCTCCCCGACCCCAGCCTGGCCCCACACCCACACCCCCCCACTTCACCCTGGGCCTCAGTGCTCTCCCACTGCAGAGGGGTCAGGGAGCTGCACACGCCCCGCGTGCACCTGGGCACGTGGTGTATTTCAGATGCACCTGGTGTCACTGTTCGCACAAACCCAAGTGGGAAGAGATCCAAATTCTCGTTCACCACAGATGGATGAGGACGTCCCAGCAAGTCCCTCAGTGGAGTCAGCCAGCACAAGGCGAGTGAGGGACCTCCGGAGACATGAATGGGTCTCAGACAGTGTGTGAGTGGATGAAGCAGGAAAAACACATGCTGCTAGTTAATTCATTTATGTTGAGCTCAAAATAGTCCACATCAGAAAGACTGTTTGGGGCTGCAGGAATTCCGTGGACAATTGCAAACAAGGCAAGGGAAGGAGGACCAGAGAGGTGAGGAGGACGCTCCCTTCGGGGACGGAGAGAGTAAGACCTGGCATTGCACACGGGACGGGGGGCCTGTCGAGGCACCTCTTTGCTTCTGAGAGTCTGTTTTCATGGACAGTCTTCTACAAAATGTACATGGCAGCTTTTTAGGGCCAGGGTCACCGGGATTTGTCTTTACACCTCCCCAGCCCGGGAACCACCACCTCTACCAGCCCCGTCCACACAGTTGAATCTCATCTTAAGTTCTCTGGAGCCCGACCCCCCACGCACACCCTCCTGGTCTGGGCGTCTCACCTGCATCCGCACAAGTGCCTCAGGAGGGTGGAGTGTCTGGTGCTCGGCACTGGAGGCTCAGCCCACACTGAGCCGGACAGTCGCAGGCCTCCTGGATGAATGAAGCATGAACGAATCCCGATCCTGTTACCACAGCTTCTCCCCAAGCATCCCCAGCAGAACGTTGTGTAAAAACCACACCAGGATTCGTACATGCCAGAGGACTGAACTTCTGCGTGTTGAAGATAATTCATCTTCCTGAATCACTGCCGATCTGCCATGTGGTTAACCACGGAATAAACATGGGGGAGAGTGTAAGCACCGCCCTAACAACCTCACGCTTCTTCCGTTACCCTTTAAAATTACAGGGTACTGACTTCATAATTGTGTTTCTCTTGTAAATGAGACTCTCATGGAAAAATCAGCTATGTAGGTGACAGCTTTGTAAACCTTTAGATTGAAATGTCACTTCGATTATTTCAAGTGTAAAAGTGTTTCAGCTTTTTTGAGGTATAATTGATACTCAGAGAGCTGCACACATTTCATGTGTACACTTTGGTGAGGATTGACCTGAGCAAACACCTGTGAAACCATCACCAAATCAAAGCAATCGAGGAATTCTGCACCTCCTGGAGGCTTCCTTGCGCCTGTGCCCGTGGTGAGGACACAGCACGAGATCTTCCCTCTCAGCCAGTCGCAAACAGCCAATAAGAAAATAACACCAGGCCTCCTGGTGAACACACACCTGTAATTTAATTGTTGATCTTTTAACCTGGCATTCACATTCTTCATTGAGAATACGGCAAAGACTTTAGAAGTCATCTAAAGTATCAGTAATTTGAAGTCCTTTAATACAAAAAGTATAGAATATTACCTTTCGTCACATAGCAATAGGGAAATGAAAAAAGAAAATTGACTTATTTTCTTTACTGGCTAGGAAAATATTCTTAAAAAGATACGTGCAGGTGAATCTAACAAATAACAAATTTATTTCTTTACGTAGATAAATATAAGGTTAGATCCGTGTAAATAAATGAAGCCATTAATGGTAGAGTCCCACAGATCACAGAACTGACCCCGCATCCAGCTCTGCTCACGATTTCAGGGAGTCATTTCCAGGCGCAGGTTGAGCTGGAGAAGCTGGGGAACCTTGTAGCCCCACTGTCCTTCCTGCCTCATAGGGCCTCTGAGGGGTGCCTGGAACATCTCTCCTCTTGGTCTTTGAAGATCATTTCACTTATGCAACATTTTCCAGGTGCCATGGACCCGAGCCCAGAAACCATGGTACCAGAACAACCCGAGAGCTGGGGTCACCCGAGAGAGGGCAGAGGGTAGACAGTGGCTCCCCAGGAGTGAGCCGAGACCCAGGGTCACCCGAGAGAGGGCAGAGGGTAGACGGTGGCTCCCCAGGAGTGAGCTGAGAGCAGGGGTCACCCCCAGGAGTGAGCTGAGAGCCGGGGTCACCCAAGAGAGGGCAGAGGGTAGACAGCGGCTCCCCAAGAGTGAGCCGAGAGCCGGGGTCACCCCCAGGAGTGAGCTGAGAGCCGGGGTCACCCGAGAGAGGACAGAGGGTAGACAGTGGCTCCCCAGGAGTGAGCACCAGGCACTGTCAGGGGTTCTCTCCCCAGCACATTTACAAGGGACTCGATGGGTTCTTCTTCCTTCAGGAGCAATCCCAGTGGGCAGAAGGAGGGGATGGGAGGCCTGGCAAACGCTCCTCCCCAGTTCCATTCCAAGCTCCACGGGGCTCCGGCAGGCCCCATGTCATGTGCAGATGAGGGATTAGGGTTCCTGCCTAGCCTCGCTGCTCTCAGGCCCTCATGGGCTCCTCTCCCCACCCCCCATGCAGCCGGCAGACCCTGCTCCCACCCAGCTGTTCTCAGTGTTTCTCATCCTTCCTGGATGACGCCCTACCTGGGGCACCCATTCCTGTGGCACCCCAGCCCTTCACTGCAGCACGCATCCTGTCACCTCCACAGTGAGACCATCCTGGAACCATGATCAGCCCATCAGTTTCATCCACCCTCCTCCTAGCCCATTTTCTGTGCTTATTTATTGTTCCCCAAACTCCTGCCTATGATTTAAAACTAAGTGTGAGTCTAGTCTGTTACAATGATATGGATTCCAGATCTTCGGAATCAAAATGCTCCAAGGTTTAACTCACAAACTTGTCTTCTTTATTTTGCATTTTATGTGAATGCCTTTGGTAATACCATCATCGGTTGCGCCGATGGAGGGAGCAAAGATCTCATGGTGTTGGTTAAAGGGAGTGTGGCCCAGGGCCTGAGGTCTGAGAAGGAGCTTATTCCTCGGCGAGGTGGAAATAACACAGACTGCAAAGCCCACCTTGGGGGCACCACAGAGGAGAAAGCAACCACATTACTGAGAGGCCACAGAATAACTGAGCTCGTTTAGGGGTGAGAACGAGGCTGCATCTCTGCCCTTTCCCTCTCCCCTGCCCTCGTTCTCTCTCTCTCTCTTTTTCTCTTTCTTCCTTTCATCTGGGTCTAACTGGGCTCATTTGTCTTCAGCATCCCTAGGAAACTTCATGAAACCAGTGTTATTATGGTCAATTTGCAGTTTAAAAATTCAGTGCAGAAAGGTTAAACAAATTGCTCAAGTTTGCCCAGCCAATATCTGGCAGAGTCAACGGCACTGGAATTCAGATGTGGCTACATGTTTTGTGGTCTTTCTATTCTTTCTGATACATAAAGTTTTCATTTAACGAGACTTATAATGCATAACACGGTTTTGAAAGGTGAAGACAAAGTGAGGTGCACACTAAGGGGCAGCCTCCCCTGCAGGAGTGAGGTGTGAGCGCTCCCGGGAGCCGGCAGCCAGCAGCAGGCTGGGCCTGAGGACAGAGCCTGTGATTCCATCCATGATTTACCAGTGCTTTCAGCTTTGAACACGCGTTAAATAAATAGAGCTGTTTTCAAAATTAAATGAACAATACATTCTTTTCAGCATTTCCACCTAATTGCAATTCCTTTTTCTTTTATTCATGAATTCAATAGTCTATGCTTTTTGAAAACTGATATTCCCTGTAATGAAGCCCTGTGGTTTCACTGAGTGTTGGGTTTGAAATGTTGTAAAATACATGTAACACTCATCCCATTCAAAAGGTGTAGAAATGGATTACTAAGGGGTACTCAGGGGAGTTTTGCTTGAAAGCTGAGGCAAAATCATAGTTGATGCAGGTGAAAATATTTAATTTAATAACCTTTAATGAATAATTCAGTTTTCAGGTTACATGAAAGCGACACCTTTATTTGCATTACACATCTCTGCCCCCAGTCATGTCAATGTGTCTTTCCTGAATGCAGTTTTAGGATAAGGACAATCCTTGGAAATCCACCTTCCAGAAGGTTCCACTGTTGCGGCTTTGGGATCAGGAAAGGGGATTTGCAGGAAGGGACAATTGAGAGGGCTTCTCCCTGCTATGGAGACACACAGCTGTCTGTACTTCACGGGACCCCCTCCTTCAGATCCAGAAGACACTGAAAAGAAACGCAGGGCTTTGAACCTGGGCTGGGGCTCCCGGGGCTGGGCGGCTGCTGCCTCTCGCTGAGGGAATCCACACTCTCGAGGCAGCACCTCGCAGAGCAGGTCACCTCGACTGCCCCATGATGTCCACGAGGCTTGTTCCTGTCTTACTACGATCGAGAAGACAGCATGTGATTTTATGAACACCCCGTAAAGAAAACCTGAAAACCGTGTTCAAAGAAATGCCATTGAGCAAAAGGGCAGCTGTGGACCTGGCAGGTGGGGCCTGCGGTGCCTGAGGTCACGGCCAGCAGCCCCGGGAACGGCTCCGTCTCAAGGACATCTTAAGGCCAGTAGGGGCATTTGGGACGGCAGAGGCCTCACCCTGAAAGTGGTGGTTTCCACAGCTGGACACGTCCACAGGACCTCAGAGGGGAGGGTCAGAGCTGAGAGCTGAGATCCAAGCCGCGGTGTGGGTGAAGAAGGAGCGGGCAGGGATCGCTCTCCGGGAGAGGCCTGGATCTGGGCCTGAGCAGAGCCGCTGCGGACCAGACACAAGTGGCCACGGCAGCCAAACCAGATTCCCGGATCCCGGCCGACGGCCTTGGAATCCGGGTCACAGAGCCTTTCTCACGCGGTTTTCATTTTGCCTGGCATGGATCGAGTTTCTTAGTCTACAAACGTACAAGGGCTCACTTCAAGGCCACAATCCATCAACACAGCCAGCCAGGCTCATGCTCTCAGTCAATTTTCTTACTTTAAAAACCTATTTTACCTCAGCCTGCAGTCCCTGAGATGGATGGGTGTGAGCAGAGCTGTGAGGAAAGCAGCCCCTACTTGTGAGAAACACCTGCGCCTCACTGGGCAGACTGCAGGTGCGACCCACGCAGCCTGCAGGTGGGAGGCGGGACCGGGCTGGCTCAGAGGTCGGGCATGGAAAGCCATGGCCGAGGCTGACATCCACTCACTCCCCCCACAGTCCTCTCAGCTGGACAGCAACACACACCCACACTCTCATGCCAGTTTGCACACACAGCCATGATCATTGCACACACACGCACACACAGGCTGCTGCACAAGTCACACCTACTCATTCACACTCATGCACACTTACATGATAGATGCAAAATCCTTGTGTTCCAGGGGAGGATGTGAGGACGCAGGGGTGTGTGGCTGTCCATCCCACCGTGAGGGTGCAGGTGTGTCTGTACTCCTCCGTGCTGGGTCCTGGGGTGTGTGTGCAGGTGTGTCTGTCTCCACCTCTGCACCAGGTCCTGGGGTGAGTGTGTGGCTGTCTGTCCCACCGTGAGTGTGCAGGTGTGTCTGTACTCCTCCACACCAGGTCCTGGGGTGAGCATGCAGCTGCCCGTCCCGCCGTGCGTGTGCAGGTGTGTCTGTCTCTCCTCTGCACTGGGCCCTCACTCTGCTGCTCCCCCATTTTGTGGCTGGGAAAATTGTGATATCTGTGATTTTTCTCATCAGTCACAGCTGGAACTTGCACGACTCTGTCTCACACCCATTCACACAGCCGTGAGGACATCGATGTGCAGCCTTGACCTCCTGCAGCACATTCATCAGGCTCCCGTCGCCGCTGGGCCATTGTCAGGGCCTGGTTGCCCACCTGGCTGAAGCCTCCCCGTCATCACACCCCTCACCGGAGCAGCCCCAACTCACAGGCTGTTAGTTGTCACCATCAAGCACACCAGAAATTTTAAAATGATTTCTCTAAGCCAGGCACAGAAAGGCAAACATTGCTCTCTCTCTCTCACTAATTTGTCAGATTTAAAAATTGAAACAATTGAACTCATGGACATGGGGTGGGGAAGGACGGTTGCCAGAGGCTGGAAGGGGTAGCGGGGCTGGGAGAGGTGGGATGGTTAATGGGTGCAAAAATAGAAAAATGAGTAAGACCTGGTGTTCGATAGCACAACAGGGGGGCTACAGTCAGTAAGAACTTGACTGTGCATTTTAAAATAACTTAGGGAGTGTAGTTGGGTTGTTTGTAACTCAGTGGATAAGTGCTTGAGGGGACAGACGCCCCGTTTTCTGTGATGTGCTTACTTCACACTGCATGCCTGTATCCAAACATCTCACATACCCCATAAATTCATACACCTATGTGGCCACAAAATTTAAAAAAATCATTTATCTAAGGATAAAAGTGAAGTTCCCCTCGTTTCATGCAGCTTCTCTTCAGTGCTTTTGTTTTTCGAGATGAACCTTCCTCACTGGTATTGTTGGCACCAGGAGTCTGTTCGGGACAAGCTCCCGCCATTTCTCACCACTCCCAACTTCGGGGGAGTCTCTCTAAACACACGTGTTTTGTGGTATTCGGCTGACATTCTGACTACTGTAAGAAATCAATGCATGACATACAAATTCACACAATTTTGGGGAGGGAGAGACTGCAGGTTATGCTTTCAAAAATTTTCATGATTTTAGATTGTTTTTTCTTTTTAGAAGTTTTCTTTTTACGTGAGATATTTGACTCAAGCATTGTTAAAAATGCAACAACATCATAAAAGTTTGGTGGTTCAAAAAATAATGATGACACAAAACTCTAGTGCCTCTACACTTGGACAGTTTTAATTTTTTAATTTGGTAAATCTGGTTACAGAAGCCAAGTGATTTTTCAGGCACACCAAGTTTTCAGCGCTTGGCAGGAAGTAGAAATGAACATGTCTAGAATTTTCCACCATGCAGACCTTCAGAGCATGTGTGCCTATGTCTCTATGTGTATGTATACACATATGTGCAGACGTGTTTTTGTGTGTGTATGAATGTGTATCATGTGTGTACATGTGTGTTATTCATGGATTGCTTTTGCTAAGCAACAGATAATGTAGTGATTCCAAAGGAGTTTCAAGCTCATCTTTATTCTTTTTTTATTTTGCTGAGTAAAAAGTACAGCTGTAGCGGAACGTCCTCCTTAACTCACTGTGCGAGACGGATGTCACACGGATGACTATAAAACGTAGCATGCATGACGTATGCAATTTATAGAAAGAAAACCAGATGGAAATAAAAGAAGAATAAAATTGGCATAAATGACCCCAAATCACACCTGAAACACACTCTGTGGCCACTGATGGCTTCGGGCGCTCTGCGTTCGGGAGGCCTGGAAAGTCCCAGCTGCGAACATCTCCGCGGCCCCGTGACTCGGTTCACCGCATTGCTCAGACATCCACACCTCCCGTTACTTTACCTTAAGCCTTGACTTATTTTTCACCTTTTAAAGTTAAGATCCGTGATCAGTGAGTGCCACTCTGTGGGGAGTCACGTGTTTGAGATGGGAATTTCCACAGGCAGCTGAGAGAAGAGGATGGAGTGGGTGTCCCTCCGAATGCTGGTGTCTGATGCCTCAGTGAAGGCGAAAGGGTTGATCCTGAGAGGAGAAGAATGAGCTCATTTGTGGAAGAAATGATAACTGCTGACCACAATACAGGCCTTCAGGAGTGGTGCTGAGTCCAGGGAGCATGTATTAAATGCCATTTATGTGGCAAGCACAAAGCTAAGGACTGTCCAGTCTGTGGAGAGTAAATCTCCTTCCTGCCTTGCAGGCTGACAAAGTCCAATCATTAGTGACCATTCATGCCAGGAAGGTGGAGCTGCCTCCCCAGATGCAAACAAATCCTGTGGCTTTTCCCTGGTAGCCTCGGTGGTGGGTCCCGGTGGGGAAACAGTGACAGATGAGGGTGATTCCCAGGGGTCCTGCGAGAGGCCATGGTCGGAGGGCTGGAAGGAGGCGGGAAAGGTGCTGGTTCATTCACAGCTCCAGGTGGGCTGGAGGCATCCAGGCGGGACTGTGCCTGGGAACACAGGTGCCACCCACGGGGAGCTGCTGTTCTAGAGACGGCCATGGGCACCTCTGGGAACCCAGGAGACCCAGTGACCCACAGCTTTTATCACCTGGCTTCACAGATGGGATCTGGGACTTGGCAGTTAAACCGCTTAGGGAGGTCCCATGACTGCCAGGTGGGAGGGCTGGATTCGAATCCCAGAGGGAGGTCGCCTCCCCTTCCGCCATCGTATCCCCGACTCACTGCCTCTCCACCCTGGAGATGGGGAGAGGGAAGAGCTTCGGAGACCAGGGTGGGTGGGTGTGTCCCTTCACCCCGGGGACTGAGGCCTCCCTCCTCCCCGTGACATGTGACCCCCAGGGCCTGCAGGTGCCCAGACAGCCCAAGCTCACGGCACCCTACAGGGAAGCCTTTGATCAGGTATGGAAATCAGGGCTGAGAGTCGATATCCTAAATCAACCTTTAATTTCCAGAAGTGCTTTAAGGCCCACTTGAAAAGGGAAGGAAAAGGCAAAAGTTTATGGTGGGGGTGGGGAGTCCCGTTGGCCACAGCCTGGCCACTGTCACCACTTCAGATGGTCACTGTGGCACTGGGACCAGTGCTTTTGAAGGACAGACACACTGGCTGGAGCTTTGGAGACTGACAACCTTGACCCCTGCCAGGCGTCCTAATTACAGCCTGGAGGCGCTGGGACAATGCACTCCCAGCTCTTGTTTGTTTGTTTGTTTTGAGACAGAGTCTCACTCTGTCGCCCAGGCTGGAGTGCAGTGGTGCAATCTCACTGCAACCTCCACCTTCCAGGTTCAAGCAATTCTCCTGCCTTAGCCTACAGAGTAGCTAGGACTGCAGGTGGGTGTCACCACACCCAGCTAATTTTTGCCTCGGCCTCCCAAAGTGCTGAGATTACAGGTGTGAGCCACCGTGCCCGGCTAAACTCCCAGCTCTAATTCCGGTTTCTCTCTGGAGTTTTGTTCTCCTCAGTTGTTGACTCAGCAAAGATGAATCCAACCTTTTAGAGAATAAAAGTCAATGGGGTTCATTCCACCAGCCAACTGAAGCAGAGAGGGTGCGAACGAGGAACATCCCACACAGAAAATTGAGACCCACAGAGGACAGAGGGGCCCCAGACACCTGGGGCCGCTGAGTCTGCAGAAAGTGAATCCAGCCTGCAGGGCTGAGGCTGCTCAGATGTAGCAAAACTTGAAACGCCACTGTTGAGTTTTCTTCCCGGGGAGGATGGACCCAAGAGGCCGTTCCCCACTTGGACGGCAGCCAGTGGTTTGCACCCCAGATAGTGGCCCTGGCTGAAGGGTCATCTGTGTCCATGCACCCCACGTACAGTTACAGACACACACGTGACCTAATGTGAGGAGGAGAGAGGTGCAGAGCCCACAGGAGGGAGAGCTCAGCGGGAATTGATGGAGAGGAGGACTCAGCTCCCTGTGGCCCAGACCTGGCTGACCATGTGATGGCCGCTCTCCGCCCATGCTGGGGGACACAGGCAGGTGGTGTCCGCCCCACGCCTGTCCAGCGGAGTCTTACTACCAAGCATGCCCCAGGTTTACCTGCCCAATCTCAGGTGCTGCAGCAGTGACCTGTCCACCCACTGTGAGCTGCTGGAGCCCTGGTACGGGTCCTTCAGCCTCTGCACTGAAGCTTCCTTATGTCGTGTCAGCAGCAGGCTGGGCGCACTGCCGTCAGGATGAAGAGCATTGCCCTGGGTACACCTGGGCAGAGCAGAGGTGTTGGCTCCTGCCGATCACACGCCTGTGGAGGACCCAGCTGCCCTGCAGACGCGCCTGTGCATGCGTGGAGCATCATGAGGGTCACTGGGCAGTGCACACTCCTAGGCACAGCCACTGAGAGTCCGCTGCTCGGTGAGGACAGCATGGATGAGGGGCTCAAACAGGGGCCTCCCAGCCAAGCCAGGCATGTGGAGGAAAGTGAGGGCTTCAGCCAGCTGTCAGGCCCCTGGCTGGTGACACAGGAACCCTGGACCCTGCCGGTGGGCCCAGAGCAGCGATCCTGGAGCACCATGGTCAGGACACCTCTGCGCCAACAGCTTGGCTGCCGGCCACACCCCGGCCGAGGCGGCCTTCCCTCCCCCAGGCTTCGCTCACTCCAGACAGATTTCTTCCTGACTCGGGTGTCAACCTCCCCTGTCCAGAGCACTGACTTTGGAAAACGTAAAATTGTAAACTCTCTCTGCCTCTTCCAGGTGTAAATCTTCTTCCAGCCACTGGCCAGTTCCACAGCCCAGGAAATGTCCTTCTTCAGGCCTGGGAGCTGCCTTGGAAAATGAGGCATCGAGAAAGAAATGGCCCAGCCCCCCAAGCCCTGTGGAGGGTTAGGGGGCCTCTGAGGAGGGTTAGGGGGCTGGCCCCCTGCTGAGGCCTCCAGGGCTCTCCCACCTGCTCGGTGGCCCCTCAGGCTCCTCAGCCCTCCTGCCATGTGCTGCAGAGGAGCTGGGGGCTCTCCCTTACCGCATGGTCTTGAATAAAGCCTTTCTTGCTTGTTTAAAACCGTCTGATACAATTTTTGTCACTCCAATTACCTGTTCTCATAAGAGACTGTGCATTGGGGTGGTCATCCACACCCTGTGGGTGGAGGCGGGGTCCTGAGGCCCACCTGCATCCGTCCCCAGGGTGCACACAGAGAGTTTTGGGGTCACCAAAGAAGCATCCACTCGACACTAAGAAATAAAGGATGAAAAAAGCAACACCTACAAAATTTAAAAATAAAGGTAAACGAAATGGCACCTAAGAGTGTGATTAACATAAACGAGAATAACAGATGTGCACACATGCACGTGTCCGCCCTCCCAGGTAGAGACACCCCTAAATCACATCAGAACCTTCTACAGGGCCAGAGCGGTGACAGCAAGGGACACAGAGAATGGGGATGAAGGGAAAGGACAAAGAAACCCACCTGGAACAATGGGTTACCTTGGTGGAGACAGCATCCTGTCTGGTGGGGCAACCGGGGCAGTGACCCCTCCAGGTACCTAGGCAGAGAGTCACACAAGGGGCTGAGAACCCACAATATGAGAGGGTGGGTTCTCGGCTGAGCTCCAGGAGTGATTTGGGGATTAAGAGAATGGCCACATCAGGAACCCCACCCCTGAGGTCCCCTGGCCCCCACCATGCTGCATTCCTGGGTCATTCCAGGCCCTAGCTGCTGTTGCCACCCCTGCTGCTGCAGAAACCCGGGTCCCATTTAAACCCTGATATGGTTTGTCAGTTTCACCACCCAAGTCTTATCTTGAACTGTAGCTCCCACAATTCCCATGTGTTGTGGGAGGGACCTGGTGGGAGGTGATTGAATCATGTGGGCAGGTCTTTCCTGTACTGTTCTCATGATGGTCTCATGAGATCTCATGGCTTTCTAAGGAGGAGTTTCCCTGCACAAGCTCTCTTCTCTTGCCTGCCACCATGTGAGACGTGTCTTTCACCTTCTGCCAGGATTGTGAAGCCTCCCCAGTCAAGTGGAACTGTAAGTCCAATAAGCCTCTTTCTTTTGTAAATTGCCCAGTCTCGCGTGTGTCTTTCTCAGCGTCATGAAAATGGACTAATACAAACTCCCTCTGGTGAGGGCCAGTTGTGGCTGCTCAGCCGCTGTGGAAACCTGGGTTCACTGCCGCAGACTCAGTGGTGTTTCCAATTCCAGTTCTGGCCTGAGAGGTGATTGATGGGCTTTTGATCATAGAGTTAGAAATACACACATTTATATTAAGAAAGTAGCCAAGAAGCCACCACTGTGTGCCCCATAAAAAGTAAATGCTAATTTTTTTGTGAGAGAGCCGAGATCTCTGATGTGGCGTTTGGAACATGGAACCACTTGACAGGAAGGCAAGGCCCCAAAATGCAGCCCTGATGGAAGCTCAAACATCCTGGCAGGCAACAGAGCAGCAGAAATAGAAAAGGAGAAAAATAACAGAAAACCAAACGAGGAGCCACGGAGAAAGAAACCCAGGACGGAGCAGGTGCGGCTGTTACCTGAGGACGGAGCAGGTGCGGCTGTTACCTGAGGACTGAGCAGGTGCGGCTGTTACCTGAGGACGGAGCAGGTGCGGCTGTTACCTGAGGACGGAGCAGGTGCGGCTGTTACCTGAGGACGGAGCAGGTGCGGCTGTTACCTGAGGATGGAGCAGGTGCGGCTGTTACCTGAGGATGGAGCAGGTGCGGCTGTTACCTGAGGATGGAGCAGGTGTGGCTGTTACCTGAGGATGGAGCAGGTGTGGCTGTTACCTGAGGATGGAACAGGTGTGGCTGTTACCCATGAACTAAATGCAGCTCCACATCAGAGAAGAGAACACAGTGAATACAGCAGTGCTTGAATTAACAAACTTCACATTTAGAAACATACCTTCTATAGTCACAATTTCATTTGCCAAATTAGATACACTTTGCTGACACTTGTGTAGGTTTTATTGCTTTGGATGAAGGCAATCTATCATAGCATAATCGGTTTTGCCCTCCCACGGAGCTTCTCAGGACACTGTTTAATCAGACTTCCTTAAAGCTCCCCTAAAAGAGGTCTCCTCCCTCCCCGATACTGACATCTGAGAAACCCAAGCTGCTCACACAAATTCAAGATATTCATCATCTTTCCCAAATTTATGGCTCTGGCTCCTTTCACACCCTGACATGGGGCATTTTGGTCGGCAATGCCCTCCCAACCCCAGTGCCACCTCTGATCAAATTCCACCTGGTTCCTTAGCTTTCCTTTCCCATAAATATCATCGAAACACTCAGCTTGCCTCCTGATGGAGAGAGTGATTTTATGCAAATTTCCTTACTCATCATTAATTTTAAAGACCAACATTCATCAAGGAAGAAAAACTGTTTCTAAAAGGCACACACATCTTATATAAAACATTGCTTAATACAAGAAGATCTGATTTTGTGGGAACCATTGCTTTGAAGTGGTTTCTATATCCAGTAATTTGATGCTATTCTGTGGGACTTTAAGACAGAGAGCCTCTGCTAGCAGAACTGGGGCGGGCACACAGGGAACTGGAGTGGGCCCGTAGGAAACTGGAGTGGGCACACGGGGAACTGGGGTGGGCACACGGGGAACTGGGGTGGGCACGCAGGTTCAGAGCTGCCCACGTTTGTTCTCAGCTTGCACATCCCAGAATGCATTTTCACATCACGCTGTAACAATTACAGACGCCCTTCACAAGGTAAGGGCTGATAAATGTGCAATTCCGGGGAGTCTGAAATGAACATCTGGAAAGGAGAAGGCAGCCTGGCCAAATGAATGTGCTCATCAGACACACTCGCCAAGGTCTCCCTCATCTGGCAACCTTGTTCCTCCTAGAAGCAGGGGCCCCTCAGAGCCGCCAGAAGTTGGGGAGGGGCCTCCATAGACATCTGGCTGAGGCTTCACTCTGAGCCTCCTTAGCCATCAGCAAAGGGGAGTGGGGATGCAGCGAGCCTGGACCTTCCTGCAGGATGCAGCACGGGGGGGTGCGGGGTCACCTGTGGCCCCCCAAGCCCAGCTGTGGAAACCTGAGTTCATCCCTAACAGGAGCTGGGCTTCCCTTGGGATCTTCTTTCCTGACACACACTCCATGTCAAGGGGTCGCTAACACAGGACTGGCTTGGTGTCAGAAATAGCTGCAACCTTTTTGCACCCCTTCAATATGCAAAATCAGGGAGACAGTCACCGGAACTCTCCACACCCAGCGTCACCTCCACACAGACCCCACAGGGGCCCTCAGTCCAGCCTTGTGGACAAGTCCCCAGGCTGTTATGGTGTCAGAGGCAAAATTACAACAAATCTAGTTTAAAGACTGAATTGGCTTCTATTTGTGATTCTAGACTTGGGAACACCTGGCCTTGGAAGCAGGATGGGTGCAGTCAACTGAGCGATGGTGTCCCATGAACTGAGCGATGGTGTCCTGTTAACTGAGCAATGGTGTTTCGTGAACTGAGTGGGGGTGTCCTGCAAACTGAGCAGGGTTGTCCTGTGAACTGGGTGGGGTGTCCTGTGAACTGAGTGGGGGTGTCCCATGAACTGAGCGATGGTGTCCCGTGAACTGAGTGGGGGTGTCCCGTGAACTGAGTGGGGGTGTCCTGTGAACTGGGTGGGGTGTCCCGTGAACTGAGTGGGGGTGTCCTGCAAACTGAGCAGGATTGTCCTGTGAACTGGGTGGGGTGTCCTGTGAACTGAGTGGGGGTGTCCCGTGAACTGAGTGATGGTGTCCCGTGAACTGAGTGGGGGTGTCCCGTGAACTGAGTGGGGGTGTCCTGTGAACTGAGTGGGGGTGTCCCGTGAACTGAGCGATGGTGTCCCGTGAACTGAGTGGGGGTGTCCCATGAACTGAGTGGGGTTGTCCCGTGAACTGAGCGATGGTGTCCCGTGAACTGGGTGGGGTGTCCCGTGAACAGAGTGGGGGTGTCCCGTGAACTGAGCGATGGTGTCCCGTGAACTGAGCGATGGTGTCCCGTGAACTGAGTGGGGGTGTCCCATGAACTCAGTGGGGGTGTCCCGTGAACTGAGCAATGGTGTTTCGTGAACTGAGTGGGGGTGTCCCATGAACTGAGCGGGGGTGTCCTGCGAACTGAGCGGGGGTGTCCCATGAACTGAGCGGGGGTGTCCCGTGAACTGAGTGGGGGTGTCCCATGAACTGAGCGGGGGTGTCCCGTGAACTGAGCGATGGTGTCCCGTGAACTGAGCGGGGGTGTCCCATGAACTGAGCGATGGTGTCCCGTGAACTGAGTGGGGGTGTCCCATGAACTGAGCGGGGGTGTCCTGCGAACTTAGCGGGGGTGTCCCGTGAACTCAGTGGGGGTGTCCCGTGAACTGAGCAATGGTGTTTCGTGAACTGAGTGGGGGTGTCCCATGAACTGAGCGGGGGTGTCCTGCGAACTGAGCGGGGGTGTCCCATGAACTGAGAGGGGGTGTCCCGTGAACTGAGCAATGGTGTTTCGTGAACTGAGTGGGGGTGTCCCATGAACTGAGCGGGGTTGTCCCGTGAACTGAGCGGGGGTGTCCCGCGAGCTGAGCGATAGTGTCCCGTGAACTGAGGCTCTGCAGATAGAAGAGCCTCTGGAGAGCAGGAATGAAACACAGAAGGCAGGTGGGTCGTTTCCAGGCTACTTTCCTTCAAGGGTTAAAAAATAGAGGGCTTCTGTGTTAGGTGGACTCAGGTTGATTTCAATGGCCTGAGATTTTTTGAAAACTGTCCATTTCCAACGTCAGTTTGGTGATGTGGGCCTTAGCACAGGGGACTCCATTCTGGCTTGGTCGGTTCTGCTGGGCCTAGACCAGGACACTATCCAAAGGCTGGTCCAAAGTTGTTAACCAATTTTGTTTAATAACCGCATTATTGCATACTATGGAGATTAATTTGGTATTAATTTGCAGTAGTTTGCTTTAAGATACGATTTTAATTACATTCTCCAGAACAACCACTGAGCAAGTAAATTAAAAAGGAGTAAAAGAAACATCAAAATAATTAAAATTGTATAAATGAAATATCTGTTTAACATAAAAGTAGGCAGTAAAAGAAGAGTAAAGAAACAAAACAGATACAAGCCATAGAGAAAACAACTGGTAAAACAGTGGACGCAAATCCCACCTTTTCAGTGATCACATTCAGTGGAATCGCGGCCAGAAAGCAAAGGGCGGCAGAACAGGAAGCAGCGCAGCCCAGAGATGGGCTTCCCGCAGCGGAGAGAGATGCCGGGGCGGCGATGCGCTTCCCACAGCGGAGAGAGACGCCGGGGCGGCGATGGGCTCCCCGCAGCGGAGAGAGACGCCAGAGCCGCGATGGGCTCCCCGCAGCGGAGAGAGACGCCGGGGCGGCGATGGGCTCCCCGCAGCGGAGAGAGACGCCAGAGCCGCGATGGGCTCCCCGCAGCGGAGACAGACGCCGGGGCGGCGATGGGCTCCCCGCAGCGGAGACAGACGCCGGGGCGGCGATGGGCTCCCCGCAGCGGAGACAGACGCCGGGGCGGCGATGGGCTCCCCGCAGCGGAGACAGACGCCGGGGCGGCGATGGGCTCCCCGCAGCGGAGACAGACGCCGGGGCGGCGATGGGCTCCCCGCAGCGGAGACAGACGCCGGGGCGGCGATGGGCTCCCCGCAGCGGAGACAGACGCCGGGGCGGCGATGGGCTCCCCGCAGCGGAGACAGACGCCGGGGCGGCGATGGGCTCCCCGCAGCGGAGACAGACGCCGGGGCGGCGATGGGCTCCCCGCAGCGGAGAGAGACGCCGGGGCGGCGATGGGCTCCCCGCAGCGGAGAGAGACGCCGGGGCCGCGATGGGCTCCCCGCAGCGGAGAGAGACGCCGGGGCGGCGATGGGCTCCCCGCAGCGGAGAGAGACGCCGGGGCGGCGATGGGCTCCCCGCAGCGGAGAGAGACGCCGGGGCGGCGATGGGCTCCCCGCAGCGGAGAGAGACGCCGGGGCGGCGATGGGCTCCCCGCAGCGGAGAGAGACGCCGGGGCCGCGATGGGCTCCCCGCAGCGGAGAGAGACGCCGGGGCCGCGATGGGCTCCCCGCAGCGGAGAGAGACGCCGGGGCCGCGATGGGCTCCCCGCAGCGGAGAGAGACGCCGGGGCGGCGATGGGCTCCCCGCAGCGGAGAGAGACGCCGGGGCGGCGATGGGCTCCCCGCAGCGGAGAGAGACGCCGGGGCCGCGATGCGCTCCCCGCAGCGGAGAGAGACGCCGGGGCCGCGATGGGCTCCCCGCAGCGGAGAGAGACGCCGGGGCGGCGATGCGCTTCCCACAGCAGAGACGCGTCAGAGTCCAACGGGGAAAGGTGGAAAAAGACGAACCGTGTAAACAATAATCAAAAGGGACATCGGGTGGCTGAATGCAGACAAAATAGACTTTAAGCCAAAAGTCGTTGTTTGAGACACCAAAAGGACATTTTATAAAAACAAAAAGGTCAATCTCTCCCAAGACGTAACAAATATGGACACATATCACCCAACACCAGAGCCCAAAATATGCAAAGTAAAAACGGACAGAATTAAAGGGAGAAATATATGGACACACATCGCCTAACACCAGAGCCCCAAAATACACAACGTAAAAAACGACAGAACTAAAGGGAGAAATAGACAATCTGACAGTGAACGTTGGTGACTTCACTGGTCCTACCTTGAATGAGTGATGGAGCCACTAGGTAGAAGATCAACAGACAGGAATGAACCCCGTGAACCAACCAGTGGATCCAGCATATGAGCCTCTGCCAAACGGTCCACGCAGAGCCGCAGCCACGTTCCTCTCGAGAGGAGAGCGAGACATTCTCCAGGGTGGACCACACACCAGAGCCTGAAGAAGCCTCAGGAAATGGAGAAGGACTGAGATGCGAAAGTTATGCTCCCTGAACAAAACGGAATGATAGGAGGAATCAATACCAGGAAGGAACTTGGGAAATTCAAAAACAGGTGAAACAATGCAAATAACCAAAGAATTCAAGAACACAATTTAATAAAATTATAAAATAACTGAATACTAATTAAAAGGCAAACACAAGATACTAAAATTTATGGGAAATAGTACTTAGGAGAAAATTTAAAGGTAAAAATGCCTGTATTTAAAAAGAAATATTTCAAGTCAATAACGTAATCTTCAATCTTAAGAAATGAGAAGAATAAACACAACTCATGTGCAGCAGACACAAGGAAGGAAATAAAGATACGATGGGGGGTAAATTAAATAGAGAATTAAACAACAGTAGCAACAATTCTTGAAACCAAAAGTTAGTTTTTGAAAACCTCAGCAAATTTAACAAACCTTTAGATAGGCTGACCAAGGAATAATAAAGATTAAAATTACTAAAATCAGCAATGAAATAAAGGGCATTACTACTGACCTTAGGAAATGAGAAGGATTATAAGCAAATATAATAAATAATTGTATGCTAAAAATTAGATAAACTAAAAGAAGTTGACAAATTTCTGGAAAATCTCCAAAAGAAATAGAAAATCTAAATAGAGCAATAACAGTAAAGAGATTGGATTAGTAATCAATAAACTTTCCACAAAGAAAAGGCCAGCCCCAGATAGCTTCATGCATGAATTCTACTAAATATTTAAAGAAGAATTAATACCAGTCACTCAAAACATGTCAAAAGGCCAAAACCAAAACAGAAGAAGAGAGAATAGTCTCAACTCATTCATTCCATAGTCCCAGGATTACCCTGGTACCAAAACTGCACAGAGAACTCACAAGATAATAATCGATATCCCTTATGAATAGAGATACAAATATTGGCAAAAATATTAGCAAATTGAATCCAGCAATATATAAGAAGGAATTATACACCATGAATGACTGGGATTAACTTCAGGAATGCACAGTTGATTTAACATAAGGAAACAAAGCAATACACTGTATTAAAAGAATTTTAAAAACCATAATAATCTCAAAAGATGCAAAAAATTCATTTGACAAAATCCAACATCTTTTTAAGGATAAAAGATGAATGAGCTAAACATAGAAGGAAACTTCCTCAATCTGATAAAATCCTTCTAAGAAAAGCCCACAGCACACTTAAATTTGAAAGACCAAATGCTTTCCTCTTAAGATCAGGAACAGTACAAGGACGTTCACACTCTCAACTTCTATTGAACATTGTCATCGATGTTCCTGTGAGGCAATCAGGCAAGGCAATGAAATGCAAGTCATCTGGGTTGGAAGAAAGAAGTCAAACTCCTGCGATAGTTTGCTGAGAATGATGGTTTCCAGCTTCATCCATGTCCTTGCAAAGGACATGAACTCATCATTTTTTATGGCTGCATAGTATTCCATGGTGTATATGTGCCGCATTTTCTTAATCCAGTCTATCATTGTTGGATGTTTGGGTTGGTTCCAAGTCTTTGCTATTGTGAATAGTGCCACAATAAACATACGTGTGCATGTGTCTTTATAGCATTAGGAGATATACCTAATGCTAAACGACGAGTTAATGGGTGCAGCACACCAACATGGCACATGTATACATATGTAACAAACCTGCACATTGTGCACATGTACCCTCAAACTTAAAGTATAATTAAAAAAAAAAAGAAGTCAAACTCTATTATGGATGACATGAACTTGTATATGGAAATCTCTAGAAACACACACACAATTTTAATGAATAAATGACTTCAGAAATGTTGCTGGGTACATGAACAATATACAAAAATCAACTGTAGACCTATATGATGGCAATAAAAATTTCAAAAATCAAATTAAAACAATTTCATTTACAATAGCATCGATGAATCAAATAGGAAGAAATATAACAAAAAAGTTATGACTTGTTACTGTAAACTACAAAACACTGTTTAAAAAATTAGATACATAGAATGATATTTTATGCTTATGGATTGGAAAACTTAACACTGTTAAGGTCAAATTGATCTGCAGATTCAACAAAATCCCTTTCAAAAATTTCAACTCAGCTGCTTTACTTCTAGAAATTGACTAGTTAATCCTAAAATTCATATGGAAATATAAGGAGCTACAAACACCAAAAACAATCTTAAAGAAAATTTTAAACAAAGTTGTTGGATTCGTGCTTCATGATTTCAAAGTGGCACAGCCAAGCTACAGTAGTAAAAACAGTATGACAGAGGCATAAAGATAGATACATACATCAATGAAATTGAACTGAAAGTCTAGAAATAAGCCCTTATATTTATGGCCAATTGATTTTTGACAAGTGTGCCAATGGAATTCAAGGAGGAAAGAATGGTCTTTACAACAAATGGTACTAGGACAACTGGATATCCACCTGCAAAAGAATGTAATTTGATTTCTACTTCACACCATATACAATTTTAATTCAAAATGAATCATAGGTCTAAAAGTAAGGTTAAAACTATAAAACTTTTAGCAGAAAACATAGGAGTACATTCTGTGTGACCTTGGATTTGGCGATGATTTATTAGAACTGACACCAAAAGCACAAGCAACAAAAGACACATCAGATAATTTGGACTTTATCACAATTTTGTAAATATTCAAAATAAATTTAAAGATTATCTTGCAGTTTCAAAAGACACCCTCAAGTATGTGTAAAGACAACACACAGAATGGGAGAAAATATTTGCAAATCACAAATCTGATAAAGCACTGTTATACAAATATATAAAGAATGCTAATAACCAGTGATAAAAAGAAATACAAGCAAATTAAATGAACAAAAACTAGATAGTTCTCCTAAAAAGATATACAGATGACCCATAAGCCTTTGAAAATGCTCAAAATTATTAATTAGGAAAATGCAAATTAAACCACAATAAAACATCACTTCACAACAACTACATTGACACGAGAGAGAGAGAGAGAGAGAGAGAGAGGGGTGAAAATATCAGAAGCTTCAATCATTGTTAATGGAATTGGAAAATGCAGCCACTTTGGAAAACAGTTTGGCAGATCCTCAAAACTGCAACAGAGTTACCATATAATTCAGCTATTTCATTCCTGAATGTATACTTAGGAGAACTGTGGTAATATTCACACACAAAAGCTAGTACACAAATGTTCATAGCAACATTTGGTATTGATCATAATACCAAAAAAAGGAAACACATCAAATGTTCAACAACTGATAAATGGAGAACCAAAATGTGGTATATTCATACAACAGATTATTATCAGCAATAAAAAGAAATGAAAAAATGTTGTAAAATAGTTGCATCATCAAAACATCACTTTAAATGAAATAAACCAAAGATTCTATTTACATGAAATGTTAAGATTCCATTTGCATGAAATGTCTATAATCAGCAAATCCACAGAGGCAGAAAGTAGATTTGTGGTCGCCAGGGCTTGGGGGAGAGGGAGGAAGGGGAATGACTGCTGTTGAGTCCAAGGTTCATTTTAGGATGATTTAAATGTTGTAAAATTATATAGCAGTGATGGTTGGACATCTCTATGAATACACTAAAAATGTTGAAGTGTATACTTGAAAGTGATGACGATCGTGGTCTGTGAATTACATCTTAACAAGCCTATAATTTAACAGAAATTTGCAGGTAGTCACTATTATTGGAATCATAACATAGAGAAGAACAATGAATAAGCTTCAAGAAACTGTGTTATGAATATGAATCTGGAACAAAGAATGAACGACGAGAACACATGGACACAGGAAGGGGAACATCACACACCGGGGCCTGTTGTGGGGTTGGGGGAGCGGGGAGGGATAGCATTAGGAGATATACCTAATGCTAAATGACGAGTTAATGGGTGCAGCATGCCAGCATGGCACATGTATACATATGTAACAAACCTGCACGTCGTGCACATGTACCCTAAAACTTAAAGTATAATCATAATAAAATTAAAAAAAAAAAAGACTGAAATACAGAGCCTGCAGCCTGAGTTCTAAGCTCCATTATATTTTGGCAGCCAATGACATACTGAACATCCAGTGGTGATTCTCCACCGTGTCTCTTCTGGACTCAAGGGTAGCCAATGATAGATACCGAACATCGGGTGGCAATTCTCTGCCGTGTCTCTTTTGGACGCAAGGGTGTGATGGGGATTTGCTGGGAACTTGTGCTTCCTCCATGGGTTAATGAGGGGCTAGTCATTTACAGACTGGTCGGGGGCAGTGCCTGACACTCAGGGGCCTGGGGCAGTAGGGAGGGTCAGATTTTGACATTTTAGGGAGTTTGGTATTGACTTGAGGTGAGAGAGGTCGCCGAGGACTGCGATGGTCGCTCTTGTATTTGAACAAAATGACTGCTGCCAAGGTGTAGGACTGATGGAGGGAGACCCTCAGTGTGGACAGCACTGCCCCAGACGCCTTGCAGCGTCACAGATGGGCACTGCTGCAGTCGCAAGGGGGTACCCACCACTGGCAGGAGCAGGAAAGGGCAAAGCAGGCAGCATCCAGGGCTCTCGTGACCAGGAGACAAGGAGAATGGAAAGGTGGTCACTGGGATTCTCGCCTGGGTGGCTCCAAAACTGGGGGCGTGGTTAACTAAGATCTGGAATTGGAGGGAAGAACCACATTTAAACATAAATGATCTTTTTAAATATAAGGATGATGATGATGACAGTGTGTGTCTGTTTTGATGCATGTCACATTAAAATCTGGGGGTCTGTGAGCCATGAAGTTGACAATTTCCAATAAGCATAAAGTGTGTTTCCTTAGCTGAGAAAATTATTTACAATAAAGGGAATGCTAATGTATGTTTCATTGCTATGTGCAAGGAAGCTGAAGTTACTGATACATAATTTCTCCCAAGGAGAATTGTGGCTTCAGTGGAGCCGAGAGATGTATCCTTGGGAAACCAGCATATTTAGATACAGCTTAAGAAACAGGTGCCCCTGAAAACACAACCTGAGCCCACTTGGAGACATGAGCAGCCTTTGACTATTTGGAGGCCCAAATAGACCTCCAGCAGCAGGGATGGGATGGGGCCCTCTGTGGAGCTTCGAGGGAGAGATATGGGCCACAGAGTGTAGATGGCTCTGTGAAGACAGGAGGTGTTTGGAGAAAATAAAGGACAAAGTGGACAGAGGGATGGAGACACAGAGAGACAGATATACAGACACACAGACAAGATAGAAGGACAGGGGACAGAGGGGCTGGTTCTTCCCCCAACTCTTTGTTCCCTCTTCTTCTTTTGCAATGAGCTAAGCCATCCTCTTAAACTATAAAATAGTTGTCACGCATCCTGCAAAACTTTTGTTCCTTAAATTATGTTAGGGTGTAATTTTCTCACATCTCAGTCTTTCCAAAGAATATTTACTCTCCTTAGAAATTAATTACAAGTCCTTTTTATAGAGACTACTCCCTAGTTGAAAAAGTATTGCTGAAAAATTATATGCTGTCATTGACTTATGACTGATCAATTGATGTCATTTGACAATTATAATTCATACCGTATTGCCACTTACAGCTAAGTGTAGTTATTTACTTAGCACTAAATTGTTTTGAAGGTTACTTAGAGCAGTACCAATTTATTGTATGGGATGGTATAATGGCATTCGATGGCATAAAATACTACATGCCTTTATCATCCTTGTTATATTTTATTACAACACTTAATTTTCCATTGAAATATGTATGACAGCAATTTTGCTGCATAAAAGAGAATTTTGTATTTTAAAAGTATGACTTTCCCTTGAGAGATAACGTAATGCCTTTGAACGCGGCAGGAGCCCTGCACGATGGCTGTACATGTGGAGGCAGCGGGTGAAGCCTCAATCCTGTCACCTGCTCCGTAAACAGGCACTCGATGGGCTGGAGCACACACGAAGCTTCTCTGCAAACTCTGGCTTCCCACTCGGATATTCAGCAGCACACGGCCATTGTTAATGAGATGCTAAATGTTCTACCCTCAGAGCTGTGCCCCTCGATGACAGAGAAGGAATAGAAAGTAAGGTTTGATTGAATGGCATTTAGTTATCCGTGTTCGCCATGTTTAAACACCTCAGGCAGGGGTGGAGGGGGCTCCCTCTTCCTTTTTACACTTTGACTTTTTGGCTTGGACACTTGTGGCTCTGTGACAGTCCTGAGTGGCTTCATTTCTGGTGACTGCCTGTGGACGTGCTCCTGCCAGGCTCACCTCAGAGGAAGCAGAGGTCGCTGAGGTGTGCAGTCACTAGAGCTGTGGATGACTTCAGCCCCCAGGGCCCAGAGTACATGTTTGCCAAAATGTGGAGGCAACATGCATGGCCCTGAACACCAACTGAGAGTAAGACGGAGACCAAGAGCAACCAGCAGGAGTTTGACCTCTGGATCGAGCCATGCCTGAAGCCTCCCCTTTTTGAACTGTCCAGTTAATGAGAGTTCATTTTGTCCCTTTTTTGCATAAGTGCGTTTTAGCTGATTTCCCTCACTCGTAACCAAAGCTTTTTGATGCAGAGATGGTACTGGATGTGGGTCTGTTCATATCACAAGCTTCAAAGGGGCAATGAGCAGAGTTAAGTGTCTCCTGGCTGGAGAGGGTTGAAGCTTTGTCATGAGGTAGGAAGACTCCTGCCAGACCTCAACCTGGCAGGTGATAGCCCGTGGGGATCCCGACAGCTATGCATTCCCAGAGAAAGGGCAGCTCAGGGGAGTTTGTGGTTTGGAGAGAAATGGTGCGTCCAGCTGATGTCAGAGGAGACAAGGACGAGCTCCAGCCCCAGTTAGGTTCCCGGAGTGCACAGCCCACACTCCTGGGTGTGAGCAGGACGGGAGCCTGGAGCCAGGGCCAGCATTCACCCACAGTTAGGTTCCGGGAGTGCGTGGCCCACACTCCTGGGTGTGAGCAGGACGGGAGCCTGGAGCCAGGGGTCCTTCCAGTCCATGACAAGGAGGCTGGGCTTGCTCTGAACAGAGCCGGAGGCCAGACTGGCTTGAATGGGGGAAGAGGAGCAGCGGCCGGAGAAGTGTGGGGGTTGGGCGGGGTCGGAGGGCTTCCGAAGGGCTGACCGCATCTCTTAGATAACAAGCGGGAACAACGCGGGACCCACTAGGAGCAGGCGTTTGTCCCGGCCTTGGAAGCGGTGCTGGGACCCTTACTCAGGTCAGCAGGCCCGGAAGGCCATGGCCCCCATGGCTCCTGACTCAGAGCTGGACGAGGTTCTACGGTTCCAGGGTAGGATCGGTCCCTCCCACCATTTGTGCAGAGCCAGGGGCCTGCGAGACCCAGAAGAAAGCTGTGCCCTTGCTCCTGGCGGCTTGTCCCAAGTGGGCGGCTCTGGGCCTGGTCGCCCAAGGGCTTTGCGGCTGACATCCTTCTCTCCATGGCGCCCTGGGACCTGCCCTGCTCAGCGCCATTCCCTAGGTAACGGGGGGACCTGGGGTGTACTGCCAGGAGCAGGCGGAGGAGCAAGCCCCCTCTTCCCAGGCTCCACGCTTTAGGCCCTGACTGGGAGTGGTGCTCCCCGGCGTGGCCGTTGTCTCCTCAGCCTGGGGAGCAGGCCCTCTCTCCGGATGGCCGAAGCGTGTCCCTCAGAACTAAGCTCTGGCCAGGCAGACCTCTGTCCCCATGTCTGTTTATGAACCTGCACTGGGACCAGAAGTTAAGAATCCAAGCATTCAAAATAAAAGCCGTAAAAAAAATTCCTAAACTTAAGAAACTGCACATTTTCTGGAACGCACAGTTAGGACGGGTTTATGAGGGGCAGTGTAAAGCGTGTTGCAAAGCCCCCAAAACCTAAAAAGGACCCAGAAAGTATTGACTGCATCCTCCTGGATATAATCTATGTGCGTTGCAAGCGCTAACACCGCCTGGCCAGCGAGAATGGCTGCTTGCACATCCTGTGGGCTTTATGATTTACTCTCATAGAAAAGACACACATATCTAAAAACACATGTCACCAGCAGAGTTAATCACCTGTTGGACACACAATGCGCCGCACACCCCAGATCTGGAGCCGCCTCCAGGTCTGCAGAGCCTGGCGGGGTCACAGGCATCCATCTCTTCAAATGACGCTTTCTCATAATTCAACAGCCTTCAGCCTATGAACAATAATTTAGTTTTTGTAAAGAATAAAAAACACATCTTTTTATAAATTTGTTGAAAGGTAAAGTTCATTTTTTTCTCATTCCCCTCTTTTCTTTCCATCTCTTCTTGATGATTATTTTTTGAGGTTACTTTAATCCAGGATGAAATACAGCAATTAGAAAATAACATGCATTAAATCTTACAGTATATTAGAGAAAATCGTCAAAATTAATAAAAGCAGAAAGAGTCCTCTTTTGTAAAGAAAAAAATGAAGAAACTAATAGTCTAGAAATATGCGTATGCATTTAGTGCATAAAAATGGAAAATGGAGGGTAATTCCGTGCAAGCTGGACACCTGTATTTGAATAAGTTTAGTAATGAAAAAGGGCCAACCTATTTTATTTTAAGATGAGGATTCAGGGGGACTGGAGGGCCGTGGGCACCTGCGTCTTCCAGAGGCAACCCTGGAATGAGTTTGTTTCCATTTCTTGCAGCAGCTGGCTTAGCTAACCACACAATCTGAAAGATGCCTGAAGGCAGTTAAACAGTCCTCACCTATTCAGCCGTAATTCACCCAATTAGGTGACAGGTCCGACCCGAAGGACCTGGAGAGGCTCTCACAGTCATCACATCTTCTTTTTGGCCAGTTGAGAGCTGGCTCCGACTCGGAGGCGTGGGGGGCCCTGCACAGACCCAGGGGAGCTGCTGGGATGGAGCCCACCTCAGGGGTCTGGGACGTTGCTTCAGACTCGCCTTTCAACGGAACATGCTGGGCTGACAGCCTTGTGGTTTCCCTGACTTTGAATCGGGTCTGTTTGGCATATTTGCTTAGAGACCTAGTCTTGAAGAGTTCGATGGTTTGGCTTCAGAAATTGTTTTAGAATATTTTCGAATAGGACAGAGTGATCAAGGGAAAAATGCTGAATAGGAAACACTACCATGTAAATGTGGAATCTTTTAAAGAGCTAAAATATTAAAGTACTGAAACAATATGAAGATGTTTGATTTACTTATTTTCACACATACAAGATGTGTGTGTATTTGTGAGTGTGTATCTGTGTGCATTCCTGTGTGTGTGCACCTGGGTGTGCACACCTGCGTACCTCTAAGCACCGTTCTAGCTGTGGGGAAATAGCAGTGAACAATAGTCTTGCCCTCCTAAAGGGAGAGAGAAATAGGAGAAACGGGTAAGGAGCCTGGTACGGGTCGAGTGATAAACGCTGTGGAGAGCGAAGCAGAGGGGCTGGGGTCCTGGAACCCCAGGCAGGGTCCACACTGAAGTTTTAAATTTAGGGGATCGGGAGGGTTATTTTGGTCAAATAGGAGGGGAACCTGCAGGAGCTACTGTGCTCTGGACGAGGAATGAGGCTGGCAGGCCTGGCCGGGGCATCCAGCTCTGTGGACCTGAAGCTTCCGTGACGGTGGCACTCATTTAGGGATGACAAGCCTTAGAGCCAAAGGTGGAGGTGAGCGCGAGACCAGGTTGAGCAAAGCCCCATCAGCCACGAGGCTTCCTAGAGGGCAGGGGGACTGGAGGACACAGGAGCATGAGGGCAGGAGCCCTGAGAACAAGGGGCCATGCTGGCAGGCGAAGATGTGGCTGATTGTCTGGGAAGGGGAGGCCAGTGCTGGGTGAGGGCGTGAACCTGCGTGCCCTTATATTTTGTGGTAGCCATATTTACAAAAACGAAACAGTAACCGGTAAAATTCCTGCTGCCGATGTATTTTACTGAACTCAGTATATCAGAACAACTATCCACTCACCCTGAAATCAATGCGACACATCTTTGGACATTTGAGACTCTATGCCACATACCAAGTCTCTAAAATCCAACTTGTATTATACATCTATAGCCCCCGCCCCATTCAATCCAGGGCAGCATTGCAGTGCCGTGGCCCCCAGCAGCCCACATCAGAGCCTGGGTGCTGACGTCCTGGCAGGGGGAACTGGAGGCGCCAAAAGGAAATGCCTTCTTCAGTAGGGGAGTGTCCCCCGCCCCACTGCTCTGGGAACAGCTGCAGGCAGGTTCCCTCTCTCCAAGCACTCTCAGACAGTGCTGTGATGAGACCCTTGTCACAGGTATTTTTGGGGACTCTGTGTCTTCTAGGAAAGGCTCCCGGGTCGTGGTCTCCCTGACAAGAGTCCTGCACTATGCAGGTTGCTCTCCTGATCCTCAAATGTGTCCTGGAGCTTCCCCTGGACCCTGGACACCCCAGCACATGGGTGAGCCGATGTCCAATGCAGGCCACGCACGAAATGCATCCACAGTGGGAGCCAGTGGTCATCCTGGTCAGGGCCAGCCTGCAGTTACCCCTGCCTGGCAAATAAGACATGGAGGTCGGGAGGGCTGGTTCCCTACTCCTGGTCATGTCACGGGACATTCTGGAACTGAGGCTCCATGTCTAGAAGCAGTGCCTGCTGGTGTCCCTGTGAGCTTGGGGGCCCATCTTCCAGGCCAGTCCTTGGTTCCTGCATAATCATTATGATACTGCCTTTCTTCTTCATAATTTTATGGAGGCTGACTTTATTTTCATTTCTCTGGTATATTTTTTAAAAACAAAAAGCAAAGTAGAAAGAATAATGTAAGACAAATGCCATTTGTTTTCTACCCGATAATATTCTGTAATAATTGTAACTCTCTTTTAACAAAATAAAAAACATGAACTGTTGCAGGCAAACCCCTCTGTCACCCTCCACTGTCTTTGCCATTTCTGATCTTTGCCAGAATTGTCTTTTAAAATTTTATTAGTGGTGAAATATGACAGTTTCCCACCTAAGATCAGAAGCAGCAGAGGGCTGCCTGTGCCCACCAGAGCCGTTCACGATGGTGCCAGGAATCCTAGTCGGCTTACTCAGACAAGCAAAAAACACATCATGTTTGGAAAGAAAAGAGTGAGATTATCATTACTCACAGAGGGCATCATCATCTGTAGAAAATTCTGCATAACATGTAAACCAAAAATAAATTCTAAGCCCCCCAACAATCTAAACAGACTCCTCCCCTTGGCCAAGGGCATTCCAGAGTTAACCTGAAAAAATAGCTCAGCCCATGATGGGAATGGGGTCGACGAGCCTCGTTATTCCCTCTCCCATTTGGAATTCAGGAAAAGCTGACTAGCATTAATATCAACACAGATCTCTTAAGTCTGAGAAGAAACATTTACAGTCTATACCTGGAGGCTTCATTTGCATGATAAAACCTTGGTCTCTACAATCCCCTATCATAACCCAGACACTCCCTTCTATTGATAATAACCAATTGCCAATCAGAAAATCTTTAAATCTTAAATGACCTGGAAGTCCCCCACTTAGAGTTGTCCCACCCTTCGAGATGAAACCAACGTACATCTTACACGTGTTTGATTGATACCTCATGTCTCCCTAAAAGGTAGAAAACCGAGCTGCCCCCGACCACCTGAGGCACATGTTCTCGGCATCTCCTGAGGCTGCGTCACAGGACATTGGCCACTCTCTTTTGGCTCATAATAA
This sequence comes from Homo sapiens, assembly GCF_000001405.40. Classification (NCBI taxonomy): domain Eukaryota; kingdom Metazoa; phylum Chordata; class Mammalia; order Primates; family Hominidae; genus Homo; species Homo sapiens. Next base: position 103,906 of record NT_187523.1, read on the forward strand.
ATCTCTTCAAATACTTTACAGAGTTTGACTCTTTTCATTGACACAAAAAAATGCCTAGAACTAAGAGGGAAGTTACCAAGGCTGAGGATACACAGAACAACTGTTTCTATAAACTTGCAATGAACAATTGGGAATTTACATTTAAATATCATTTATAAAGTCATCAAAATATGGAACATTTTGATAAATATTTGACAAATATTTTTAAGACTTGTAAAATGAAAACTAGAAAATATTGCTAAGATAAGTTTTAAAAGACCTAAATAAACAGAGAGGAAAACCATGTTCATGGACCAGACGACTGGATATTTGGATGGTGTCTCTCTCCTTAAATTAATCTGTTCAAAGCAATCCCAATAAAATCTCAGTAGGTTTTTTTTTTTGTAATTAACATCAATTTTCAGCTGCTTCTTAAATTCATAGAAAATAGCCAACAGGCTGAACAAAACTGGAAGGCTTACCTCATCTGATTTCAAGACTTCCTCTAAAGCAATCGCATTTGGTACTGTGGTATTGGCCTCAGATAGACACTCAGACCAAAGAGACAAAACAGAGCTCAGAAACAGGCCCATAGGTCCCATAGGTGTAGAGCTGACTTTTCAGCTGGGATGCCAGTGACTCTTGAGAGGAGCATGTGTGTGTTTTGTTTTTGCTCCTGGGATATTTCCTTTATTTCTTCTAAGCCTGGAAATGAAAAACACAATCAGGATCTAGTTAATCTATAGCAGGAAGTTTCTTAGAATATCTGGTCTAAAGGCGTAGAAAATCTGCATGGTTACTCATTCCTGAGTGTCTGCAGGGCTCTGGGCATTCAGCCAGGTGCTTTGCATGCATCTTCTATTGAATCCTCCCAACAACTCTGAGGACATTTCTGCAACCAATCTTTTACAGGAGCCCAGAGACTTGTGCAGCTCGTTCTCCATCACATCCCAAACCTGTGTCAGAGCAGAGAGTTGGTGTCAGGCCTGCGACCTCTCAGTAGCCCCAGATGGACTCATTTCAATGATTAACAAGTTCAAAGAATCCCAGACAGGAGATCAGCTACTAGAATCTCAACAATTAACACCCTCACCTGGGTGCTTCATTTAAATGTTTATAGCCTTGCAGTAAAGCTGCACAGGAAGGTGGGGCAAAATCAAGCCTGCCAAACATAATTTTAAAAAGACCCCAGGAGATGTGTTTGAGGCTGACAGATTCTTCTGTGCACCCAAATTGCCTGTGAGCCCGTGATTTCCCGATCTCCATGGCATGAAGGGAGGCCTGCTCTTCTTAGATGCTTCAACAAGAGACTGGTGAAGGAAGATTAGGCGTGGAAATGGATCCTGTGTCTCAGTGGCCTTGAATATTTGAGTTGAAAACATAATAAAACAAAAGAAGAGGGCTCCTCTCAGCATCCCCATCTTCCTTTTCTTACCTGGGATGAAGGGTGTGATGTGCATTAACAAGAAACAGGAGGACCCTCCCCAGACACACCGAGGTGGGGGGTGCAGTATGAGGGTGTCACAAGGACCCTCCCCAGACACACCCAGGTGGGTGGTGCAGTACCAGGGTGCCACGAGGACCCTCCCCAGAGGCACCCAGATGGGGGGTGCAGTACCAGGGTGCATGGCTCATTTTTTTATTTTTTATTTTTTAGTATTTATTGATCATTCTTGGGTGTTTCTTGGAGAGGGGGATGTGGCAGGGTCATAGGATAATAGTGGAGAGAAGGTCAGCAGACAAACAAGTGAACAGAGGTCTCTGGTTTTCCTAGGCAGAGGACCCTGCGGTCTTTCGCAGTGTTTGTGTCCCTGGGTACTTGAGATTAGGGAGTGGTGATGACTCTTAACGAGCATGCTGCCTTCAAGCATCTGTTTAACAAAGCACATCTTGCACCGCCCTTAATCCATTTAACTCTGAGTGGACACAGCACATGTTTCAGAGAGCACCGGGTTGGGGGTAAGGTCATAGATCAACAGCATCCCAAGGCAGAAGAATTTTTCTTAGTACAGAACAAAATGGAGTCTCCTATGTCTACTTCTTTCTACACAGACACAACAACAATCTGATCTCTCTTTCTTTTCCCCACATTTCCCCCTTTTGTTTTTGACAAAACTGCCATCGTCATCATGGCCCGTTCTCGATGGTCGCTGTCTCTTCGGAGCTGTTGGGTACACCTGCAGAAAGGCTGTCACTTCACACTTGGAAGATTGCACAGCGGCCAGGCAGAGGGGCTCCTCACTTCCCAGACGGGGCGGCCGGGCAGAGGTGCTCCTCACCTCCCAGACGGTGTGGCGGCCCGGCAGAGGCTGCAATCTCGGCACTTTGGGATGCCAAGGCAGGCGGCTGGGAGGTGGAGGTTGTAGTGACCCGAGATCACTCCACTGTGTGTGATGGAGTCTCACTCTGTCGCCCAGGCTGTAGTGCAATGGTGCGATTCTGCAACCTCTGCCTCCTGGGTTCAAGCAATTCTCCTGCCCCAGCCTCCTGAGTAGCTGAGATTACAGGCATGCACCACCACACCCAACTAATTTTTATTTTGTAATTTTAGTAGAGACAGGGTTTCACCATGCTCATCTCAAACTCCTGACCTCAGATGATCCACCCACCTTGGCCTCCCAAAGTGCTGGGATTACACAGGTGTGAGCCACTGCACCTGGCCTCATTTCTTAAATTTTTCAGTTATGATTTTTCTAACACATTCAGCCTCATATGATGTCCTAAGGCAATGTGCACCAGATAATTTATTGATTAGAAAATGTAGTAAAATGTTTTACTATATTTCAGAATAAGTAGATTCACAATGATAAAGTAAAAATATCAGGAATGGTCAATATTTATTTCACTAAACATCTTCTAGGAAATAGTATCTTGCAATTTGTAAACCTCGAATGTCTGAGACAGGTCTCAGTCCATTTAGAAAGTTTATTTTGCCAAGATTGAGGACACGTGCCTGTGACCCAGCATCAGGAGGTCCTGACGACATGTGCACAAGGTGGTCGGGGCACAGCTTGGTTTTGTACATTTTAGGGAGACAGGAGACATCGATTCATATATGTAAGATGTACATTGGATCCATCCAGAAAGGTGGGGACAACTCGAAGCAGGGAGGGGGCTTCCAGGTCACAGGAACGTAAGAGACAAATGGTTGTATTCTTTTGAGTTTCTGATGAGCCTTTGCAAAGGAAGCAATCAGATATGATTTTGTCTCAGTGAGCAGAAAGATGACATTGTCTAGGGTGGGAGGCAGGTTTGCTCTGAGCAATTCCCAACTTGACTTTTCCCTTTAGCTTAGTGATCTTCCGGCCCCCGAATTTATTTTCTGTTCACAAATTGATACTATTGTTGACCGAAAAACCCCCCAAACTCTGTAAAATATGTAAAGAAGTTTCTTCTAAGCCAATATGAGTGACCATGGCCCGGGGAACAGTCTCAAGAGGTCCTGAGAAAGTGTGCCCAGGGAGTTGGGTCACCGCTCGGTTTTATACATTTTAGGGAGACAGACGTTACAGGCAAAGACATTGATCAATACGTGGAAGGTGTAAATTGCTTCTGCCTAAAGAGGTGGGACATCTCCAACTTGGGGTGCTTACAGGTCACAGGTGGATTCAAAGATTTTCTGATTGACAATTGGGTGAAAGAGCTAAACATTTTTTAAAGACTTGAAGTCACTAGAAAGAAAGGCTTGGGTTAAGATAAGGGGGTTGTGGAGACCACGGTTCTTGTTATGCAGATGAAGCCTCCCAGGTCACTGTCTTCAGAGAGAATAGAAGGTGAATGTCTCTTTTCAGACTTTGAAAGTGTCAGACTCTCATTTAATCTCCCTTAGATCCAGGAAAGGCCTAGAAAGGAAGGCCTGGCTGCATTAATGGAGATTCTCTACAGATGCAAATTTCCCCCACAAAAGATGGCTTTGCAGGGCCGTATCAACATAGGTCAAAAAAATACAGTTTGGAGTAAAATATTTTGCTTTCCTACAGGGTCTTCAGGAACTGGATATTGTGCCAGCCAGTTTTCTGTAATTAGTCATCTCAGAACAATTTTTCTCCCTGAGCTGCGGCCCCTCCCAAGGCTCAGCTTGGAGGACACCAACAATGAGGACACCAACAATGAGCACCTCCTGGGCAGCCCTGAGGACCCACACATGGAGGCCGCACAGCCCAGCCCCTACCCTGAGGCACACCGTCTACACAAACCCCGGCCTGGACCCAGCCTCATGGCCCACAGGCAGGTCCTGAGGACACCCACAGCATTGCTGTGAGCCACTTCCTGCACAGTGCGCGGGCAGGATCAGGACATAGCTGCTGGAGCCTCCACCCTGAAAACCCCACTCTTCCCAGAGCCCAGAGGCCAGGGCAGGTCCCCAGCTGTGCACAGCGCTGTTTAACCCAGGCCCTTGCTCTTTGAGCTCAGCCTCTGGGAGAGTTTAACACAGAAAAGGCCCTGCCCTGGCCTCCTAAGATGAAAATCTAGGTGGGGACGGGGGGCACAAGTGTAGTTAAACACCTGTGAGCAAAGCACTGCTGTGGATGGATTTGCGGGGAACACATTGACACCCTACCCTTTCCACACAGAGAAACACAAACATACTCATGCACACTCACACACATGCACACTCACATGCATGCACACTCACACGCATATACACATTCACACACACGCACAATGTTCACACTCACACGCACAATGTTCACACTCACACATGCACATAATCACACATGCATTCACACTCACACGCATACACACACATGCACACACACCCATATTCACCCATACACACACTGACACACATGCTGAAACACACCCACACATGCATACACACAATGCATGCATACTTACAAGTACACACATATACACACACATTTGCATACATACAGTTGCATGCAGAGAGCTTCACACATGCACACACAGGCATTCACAAGCTGTCCCACACATGCACATACACTCTCACTGACACTCTCAGACACACATGCATACTCGCGCTCACACTCATGCACACAACACAAGCCACGCGAGCAGCAGCCAAGAAGCACATGGCGTCAGGTGCGCCCTCCCTCACCTATGACCCAGCCAGGCGGCATCCTGCATTTTAAATACAACGGCTCCCCCCAGCCCTTCAGGTCTTCTTCTCACCGATCAAGTGTGTGTTCACGCGTGTGTTCCTGACATCCCCTTTGGCATGGGGCTGTGCTTCCAGCCTGCAGAATCTGCATGTGGCTGGTGAGAGCGATCCCTGGGGACATTGCCAGGAAGCCTCCCACAGCCGGGAAGCAGCGCTGAGGTATAGGAGGGAGCTTCTCTGGGGGCCTGGAAGGGTTAACTGAGACTGTTAGGCGTGCTCTCAAATGATTACACAAATCACTGTTGTAAATCACAATATCCCTGACTTTGGAATTTTTATCTTGTTTTCAGGTAAAGATCATCTTGTTCTGCTGAAAGTCAAAAGCAGCCCCTATTGTTGTTTTTTAAATAACTCTCTAATTAAAACCAAACAATTCTGTAGACTCTTCCATAGGAAATATATTCATGAGGCTGATGCTTATAGAAAGTTTTATCTTGTGAGTTATTAAATAAAAATGCATTCAAATTTCAAGAACTGTTTATTGGGCCGCAAGCATAGTTAATTTTATCAAATATTGAAGACGTTTTAAAATGGCACATGCTGGGTTCAGGTTGCGGTTCCAATGATCCACCTATGGTACGTGTTTATCTACCATAAACACAGATTCTTGCATTTGAAACAGAACACTGAAAGTGAAACTTAGCAGAAAACCAAACGTATCAACGTCCTTTGAGAAAGAATAAGCACAGGGGTGTGGAGGAGAGCCGGGCCAGCCTCAGACTCAGCCTCCCTGGAGCCCGAGACGTCCACTTCTGTGAGGTCCCGAGGGAAGCGGATGTGGTCCTCTTCTAGCTAGCCACATTTTCCTTTAAGTAAAAAGGCAACTGACAATCTTTCTCAAGTCATCAAAAACTCAGGGAAGATCCATCCAAACAATAACGACAAAAATCAACCAAAGAAATAAGCCAAGAAAAAGGGTGGCAAAGTTAAAATTTACTTCAACAGGCTGGGCGCAGTGGCTCACACCTGTAATCCTAGCACTTTGGGAGGCCAAGACAGGCGGATCACCTGAGGGCGGGAGTTTGAGACCAGCCTGACCAACATGGAGAAACCCCGTCTCTACTAAAAATACAAAATTAGCTGGGCATGGTGGCCCATGCCTGTAGTCCCAGCTACTCGGGAGGCTGAAGCAGGAGAATCGCTTGAACCCGAGAGGCAGAGGTTGCGGTGAGCTGAGATCAAGCCATTGCACTCCAGCCTGGGTGACAGAGCGAGACTCCGTCTCAAAAAAAAAAAAAAATTTCACTTCAACAGAGAAACTAAGACTCAACCAATGTGAGCATTATAAATAAAGAGAATGTAAACGTTATGAAGTTGAAACAGTAAGTTGGAGTTTTCTGAAGAGAAAGCTTTTTCAGGGCCCATACCTCTCCTGCCTTTATAGATTTTCTTTTCCTCGAGCTACCAAAAGATGCCTTTGTCCTTGAGGTCTGGTTACAAGTCAAGGTATTTTACGATATCGATCTTTATCACTTTTTTTCTTGGAACAGAAGATAAACAGGTACAAATGTTTCATTTTTTTAAAGACGCTTTGTGTTCTCAGCTCTTTGATTTTCTTTATTTCTTCAGTCTTCTTTAAGAGCACCAACTGCACCCATGCTATTTCCCGTCGTCTCCACAGCTACCATCTTCTCTGAGGTCACTGCAGTCGCATTGCCATTTTTCGTGTCATCCTGTGTGACTTCCTCAGATCTGTTCCACGCGTCAAGGGCTGTTTCCCGTCAATTTATTCTACTTCTTTGGGCTTCTCTGTCAGCTAACATGTTTACATCTGGAAGGTTTTCCTCTTGCATTTATTTCCTGAGCCATCATAGCTCATTCTTCCCTCACTCCGCAAACTGCCCCTGAGCCCTTACACCCTTCAGTTCTTTTCCCTAGAAGGGCTTAACTGGACTCTTACTTTGGAGCGATTTTGTTGTTTCTTTGGATTTCTTCCTTCTTTGCCCTTTTCAGTTTTGATTTTTGTTTGTTTGTTTGTTTTTTGAGATGGAGTCTCAGTCTGTCACCAGGCTGGAGCGTAGTGGCACAATCTCGGCTCACTGCAACTTCCGCCTTCCGGGTTCAGGTGATTCTCCCACCTCTGCCTCTTGAGTAGCTGGGGCTACAGGTGTGTGCCACCACGTCCGGCTAATTATTTGTATTTTTAGTAGAGATGGGGTTTCACCATGTTAGCCAGGATGGTCTCGATCTCCTGACCTTGTGATCCACCTGCCTCAGCCTTCCAGAGTGCTGGGATTACAGGTGTGAGCCACTGCGCCCAGTCTTGAAACATTTTAAAGACAAAAAAAAGTACAAATAATTTTATAAAACAGTCATATTCCCACAACCAGAATTAACAAAATATTTTGCCACGTTGGTTTCTAGTCCTTTGGAAAGGACTCTGGCGAGGTAGAAGGATCCTTACAGCAACACAGTTGCAGCCTCTCCCACCCGGGGCGGCCAGTTTGAGGTATTTGGTTTGTATTTTTATATGACTGTTTTTTAAGTTTCACATACCCGTATATTTGCATTTATCCGTGACATAAATCTGTCTTTTGAGCATGTTACTGACGTGACGGGCACTGACCTGCATTGACGACTCTGCTCCTTCCTCTTCTCACAGTGCCGGTTAACCCAAAATCCATCTGGTCTGTTTCATTCTACTAGTTTTTGGCTGTTCACACCTAGGCTTCTATTTATCTAAAGTATCCTTTTGAGGGTGGAATGAGGCAGGAACCCTGTTCCCCAGATGAAAGCCCAGTCCCTGGGCTGTGTGCTGAGTGCCTTGTTCCCAAACTTAGGAAGCTGTCTCCATCGGGTCACAGACTCCCACGAGAGTCTGTCTCTGAGCTCTGCACTTTTCTGCCAACCTATTAACGCCACACTGTTTTCATTACCATACCTTTGTATATATTTGCTTTCTCTTCCAATTTGGCTTTTTTTTTCCAAAAAAAAGTTTTAACTGTTTTTTCTCCTCAAACCTTTTAAACGTTAAGTTATTTTTAAAAATGTTAAAAAACAAAAGTAGATGGGATAGGAGAGTGAGCTCCTATGTGTCTGTCCTCAGCATCAAAAAATCACCAAATCAGGCCCAATTTCATTGCCTCTGCTCCCCCACCAGCCTCTCCTCCTCCCCCAGACTCTTTTAAAACCAATTACAGGCACTACACCATGTCATCTGTGAGCATTTCTGAAGATATTTATTCACATATATTCTTCCATATGTGCTCTGGAATCAGTTTGTTAAAGTCCCCATATATTTTGATGAATCTTGATGGAATGTTCACTGAATGCTAAGATGTTGGAGAATTTACTGTTATCCAAATACTCCTGTCCGAAACACTGGTGCTTCTCCTCCTCAAATTCTTCCTTCGGGCCTTTCAATAACATGTTTGTAGTTCTCTCCAGGAAGGTCTTGCACATATTTTTGGATTTTGCTCAACTCTGACTGTCATAGATTTTACTGTGGCCATGAATGGCCCACATTTAGGGTTCTATTCCCCATCTGGTGACTGCCAGAGTAAATGCTAAGAACTCCCAGTACAGCTCTTGTTCTCTGCACTCTTGCCGAACTCTTGTATTGATGTCTGTAATTTATTCAAAGATTCTCTCGAATTCTATATGTATAGAATCATAGCATCTGCAAGAAAGTCAATCTTTTGCTGTACTTTTTTATTCTTATAGTTATTTGGGTTTTTTTTTTTGTTTGTTTGTTTGTTTGTAATTTTGAATTGTATTGCAATGGTTTGGGATTTCAATGTGTTGCTGAATAAGAGCAGTGATAATTGGCAGCATTTTCGTGTTCTTGATATTTATGGGCACTGTATGCTTTCCATCTGCCTAATGTCTTTTTCCTGCCTAAGTGTTTGATTTTTCCTGGTGTCTCTGCGTAGCCCTGTGTGGTTCCTGGCTGGTGCCGTTCCTCTGTTTCCTGGTGTCTCTGCGTAGCCCTGTGCGGTTCCTGGCTGGTGTCATTCCTCTGGGGAAGGAGGCAGCTCTGCTGAACCAGCTACATCCCTAGGCCCGGCAGGAGGCAGGGCGAGGGAGTGAGCTGTGGAAAGAACACATCGACCGGGGCTTGCTCCCCTGAACACCTTCAACACTCTTACCCTCCTCTTTCACTTCATTCTCCTCTTCTCAGCTTTCCTGGGTCACCAATGGGTGGAGGTGGCCTCTCGCTCCTGTCCACCTCATCACAGGCTGAAACCCTGATCATGAACAATGGAAACTGTTTATGGACTCAGGTGCATTCTCGCCTCCCGCATCTCCATTCCTCCTTCCCAGTGCCCCTCAGCTGCGGTGCCCATCTGCACCCAACACTGGGGCAGAACCTGGCTTTGGGGCAACAAGTACTCCACAGAGTAGGTCAATGGGGTGGGGCATTCAGGCAGAGTGACACACGGGTTTGCCCCAAACTTCACCTCTGGTAGGGGGTCTCCTGGGAATCCCACAAAGGTTGGGCCTGGCAGGGATCGGCGACAGGACTCTGCCCTGGCTGGGCCTGTTTCTGTCCATCTGCTCTTTCCCTTCCCTGCCCAGCTCGTTGCTGAGTCTGTGGACATGAGATGCGCCAGGGACAGAGAGCTTGGGCGTGGGGGGGCCTGTGACCCTGGGGTCTTAGGGAGCCTGCTTGGGTCACACCATATCTCCTCTCTGCCCTGCGCCTGGCACTGAGCTGCCTTTCAAGGCTGAAAATGTGGGCTCTGTTTTCCATCTGTCTGCATCATTTATGTTGAGACGCTCCCAGTCGTCTGATTTTCCGTGTTATCACCTCAGGACATTTAAACAATTAACGGTTTAGCAGCAGGAAGATAACTGCCACATACACAGTCAGTGTCCTGGTTAGAAAACAAGCAATCAGAGAAAATATGTTTTGAAAAGAATTAGTGGGCGGGCTGAGCTTCCTATCTTTCACCTGGTAGATTAATGATTGTATGTCAACACAGCGACAGGCTAACATTTTCAAATAGAAAGACATGTGATTAAATCTCTCTTTTGATGTGTTCTGCAAATTGCTTCTCTAAGCTCTGCTTCCAAAGGGCGGCTCTCCAATTAGAGTCAGATTATTATTACGGGTTAGCGATCACTCCTGCTCCCGTAGCTGACTCATTCTTTAACATGCTAATTAGCAAATACATCCAGTGCCTTGCATCATATTTGACCTTCAGCGTTCTTTTCTAACTGGAATCATTTCATGCCATTCCGATGAAATGGAGACATTGTTCTGAGGTTTCTGACCCCTCCCTCCTAAGGGCCCCGTGATCTGCCACAAAGCCCGGGAAGATCAGCCACACACACACCCCTCTCCGGATCATTCTTTTCCAGAGGTCAATGACTTAATAAGTTCACTTTCGTTCAGCAAGTTTACCGTTGCTCCTCTTAAAGTGACAGCTTGTGTGTTCGTGACAATTTGGTATTGTTACTGAAGTGGACCTCACACTGGGGTCAAGAATTCCTAAATTGCTACCTAATGGTCACTGTGAAGAGAGGATGCTGTACCGACCACAGCTGCATCCCACGGGGTCTGGAGAGGACCAGAGGCCTGGGCCCCACCAGGTCACAGAGTTGGTCATGAGTTCCCCTTCTCCTTTCTCTCCTTACTTCATGTAGGTATATTCTTTCTAAAAAGATTAAGTGGCATCATATAAAATTGATATACCTGCTTCTCACTCTTTCAGCTGCCAGAGGCTCCAAGGCCCTTGGTCCTGGCTAGGCCCCTCCATGGTCACAGCAGTGATGGCCTCGTCCTTCCCACATGAGGACCCCAAGGGTAACCCTGGGTAACTCCCACCCAAGGGCCCTGCTTGGAGCCTGAGTCCACCTGCAGCTGGGTGTCCTTTCCCCCATGCCCAACACACTCAGTCTCTGGGGATCAGGGTTTGTGCATCTCTGGGTGGCTGCTCCACCAGCCCCAGCAGGGCGCCGTGGGCGCGTGGGTCCTGTGCCAGCATCTGCCTGGCTGTCACCATGGGCATCTGCCTGAAGGCAGCAGTTCCCCGCCTTCCTGCCTGCTGTGAATCTCGTTTCTGCTCCCTGGTTTCTGCCTGGCTGTCACCATGGGCATCTGCCTGAAGGCAGCAGTTCCCCGCCTTCCCGCCTGCTGTGAATCTCATTTCTGCTCCCTGGTTTCTGCCTGGCTCCCATGGAAGAGATCGTCGCATTCTCTGCTTCTCTCCACTGTCTGCCCTGCTCCTGTAAGCACGGCCATTTCTGTCAAGTGCCTCTCAACCTCAGAGTTCATGCAACACTTGAGGTGAACAAAAAGCCCAGGCCTCTCCATCTGGAGCAGGTTTGCAGATTCTCATAGCCCCCATAATTGTCGCTCCAGAGCGGGTTTACAGACTCTCATAGCCCCCATACTTGTCGCTCTCAGCAGCTATCTCAGAACCTGTTATTTATTAGCCAAGTGATGTGATTGGTCTCTCTTCTCATTAGATCACGACCCCTATGGGGACACGAACCTGTTTATTCCCACACTGAGGCTTCAACCCAGGGCCTACGCTTAGGAAATACTTGACATTTGTTGAGTTTGTGAACAGACGAACATGTCCCCCATTAAATGAAGCTGAGTGAAGTGGAGGCTTAGAGGAGATGGTGACAGCAGGAGATGCAGCCGTGGGAGCAGATTCTCCCTCTCAGTGACATCACCAGTGCAGCAGCTGACCGGCGGCTGACTGTGTGTGGGGGTCAATTGGGCAGCTTCGGTCTGTCCCTCTGTAGAGATGGCTTATGGTGCAGATGTGCAGCAAGCAGGCCTGGCTCTCCTGCAGGCCAGTCCTCACCCACCTGTGCCTCAGTTTCCTCTTTTGTAAAACAGGGACAAGGCAGTCCTCCTCTCGTAGCAATGTGGGGGTGGCTGAGGGAGCTGTGAGCATTTGTCCCTGGACTTAGGACAGAGTCTGGTGTGCCCTTTGAGACTGGGCCACCCTTTAAGCTCCAGCACTCCAGTGACTCCAGCAGCATCAACTGTGCTCCACTCACACGAAGATGCTCTAGACTGTAGACACACCATTGCGTTCATGGAACCGAGAGAGGAAAAACACTTCCAATTAAACTATGACAAGCCATGTAACTAAGATACATTCTGATTCCTGAAATGTGAGGCTGTGAACACCATGTGTGCCCCAGCATCTCTAAGACACCAGTGTCCCAAGGGAAGACACTGAGGACCATGATGGGGCAGTGCCCAGCGGGGCACGATGGCTGAGCGGGCTGCTGGGGGCCAGCTGCCAAGCCAGGTGGGCTAGAGCCCGACTCCCGTACCACCTCCCCGCCCAGGAGCTGGCGGAATGCGTCTTCACATTGTTTTTGCTGTGGCTCCTGACTCTGCCAGCATGAAACACATTTATCTCAAAATTTCTCGCGAACACATACTTGATATTATTGTTCTCAGAATATTTACTGGGAAAGGGCATAAGGACAAAAAGGCACTTTGTTTAGTAACATTTTACTGAATTTGTATTTAATTCATCACAAAAGCATCTAAGCACCTTGGTGGACCCAAAACCACACCTGGAGACATGTCAGTCTCAGACCACAGTTGCTTGAAGGGCCCTTATGACAACTCAACATATTCCCAGGGGTTCCAAGACCACAGCCTGGGATTCTGCACTCCAAAATGAGGTTTACAGCCCTTAGTCAGGTCTGCAAGTTCTTAGCTTCTAGAGCAGCCTCCAAGATGGGAGCTCATTTAGAACGGCCCCATACCCCCTTGAGCACCCCAACTCTGAGCCTCCCCAGCAGCCAGGTGTTGTCTTGGTGTGCAAAAACCCCTGATTGTTTTTAAGCTGGTGTCGACACGCTTCCCTGTCATTGACCCTCATTGTGCCAGTAAAGCTGTGCTACACAATTCAGTTCTGTGTTGTGGGATTTGCTAAGAACCCTGCTGCAAGGTGGGTTGTTGCCCCCGCGGCACCTTCTTCAGAAGCCTGGATTTCTATTAGTTCGTCTTCACGGGTGGAATGGCTGCATGCATTTCCCACCCGTGCACCCTGCCCATGGTAGATCAGAAGGAAGATTAGCAGGAAGGAGTTTGCAGCAATAGAAATGTTTTTTCCTAATCTCTAAGCCGGCTATACAGACTGTCCTAGCCTTATCTCAGAGCCAGTAATGAATTAATCAAAACGCAGAGAGCTGCTTCTGCAGGTGAAATGAGCACTGCTAAGAAGCTGCTGATAACATCCTTCAGGTGATCCTCTTTTTTAAAAAAACATATATTTTGTCTCTATTGGATTATTTTCCTTCTCTCAGGGACACTGCAGCGGTGTATGCCCAGATCAGCATGAGCATGCCCAGATGCTCCAGGGTCCAGCACAATGACCACACCCAGCCCCTCTGTTACCTGCAGTGAGCACCGGTGAAGGGGAATGAAGAAGGCCCTGCTGCAGGGTGGGCAGTGTGGAGGGAGGGACTTGAAGGGGCCGTGGGTCTGCTTTCTCGGGGAGGGACCATGGGTGCAGGCGACAGACACACCTGAGCTCCTGTGGAATCATCTTCCTGACTTCTTGGCTCCGGGCTCCAGGGTCCAGTCCAGTTCCCATCCACACGGAAGGAAAAGGATGAACAAACTGAAAATCAACAACTCTTCTTCACCCGTCGGAGAACTGAGTCACCAGGCAAAGCACGGCCCCCAAATCTGGAGACACAGACAAGTGGGTTCTGAGAACCTCAGCTGACAGGAGCAGAACCTCTGCGGGGCCAGTGCCAGGGACTTGAGCTGCCCCTCATGAATTTCTGGAGATGCCACCTGGACAAGTGAGAGAAAAACTCCAGGGGAACCCAGTCATGGGGGACCTGCGCTTGGTGAATTTTACCTCCGAGAGCTCGACCAGGTTCCCACATTAGAGAGGAAAAATCGGCCAGGCGCGGTGGCTCACGCCTGTAATCCCAGCTCACTTTGAGAGGCCGAGGCAGGCCAATTGCCTGAGCTCAGGAGTTTGAGTCTACCCTGGGCAACATGGTGAAACCTCATCTCTACTAAAATACAAAAAATTAGCCGGGCGTGGTGGCGCGCGCCTATAGTCCCAGCTACTCAGGAGGCTGAGGCAGGAGAATCGCTTGAACCCAAAGGCAGAGGTTGCAGTGAGCCAAGATCGCGCCACTGCACTCCAGCCTGGGTGACAGAGGGTGAACTTGTCTCAAAAAAAAAAAAAAAAAGGGAGGGAGGAAATATCCCCACTTACTTACAGCCAGGGGAAAAGGATTATTTTGAAATACACCCTGTTCTCATGAGGGCTGCTTTAGGGGGAATTATTTCACCAGAGTCTAACAGACCCAAATTTTTCATCAGTCTAACCTACTTGGGGAAAAGCAAACCCCAACTCCAGCCCCCTCTGGCCTTCCAGGCCCACCCAAGGGGGAAGGGGAGATACAAACTCAGCAGCACTCTGTGAGGTCATGGCACAGGGCACAGGCTCTGGAAACTCTGGTCCTAAATCACAGGGCCGTGCGCACACCTTCCAACCACCGCAGTTCCCTGTCTACAGGCCCCTCTACAATAACGGGTGTTTCCCAGGAAGAATGCTTGTTTCAGGCCTGACTCTAGGAGAACTGCCTTTCTGATGTTAAGGTGTCAGAGGGCTGGCTTCTAAACCCTGGGTTAAATCATTTAGTGGCACATTTAGCCATCAACCCGTGAGAGTTCAGAAAGGACGCACGTTCACATGCACAGAAACAGTAAACAGGCCGGCGCCATGGCTCACGCCTGTAATCCCAGCACTTTGGGAGGCCGGAGGTGGGCCGATTGCTTGAGCCTAGGAGTTCGAGACCTGCCTGGGCAACGTGGCGAGAGCCCTCCTACACAAAAACTACAAAAATTAGCTGGGCATGATGGTGCATCCCTGCAGTCCCAACTACTTGGGAGGCTGAGGCAGAAGAATCACTTGAGCCTGAGAGGTGAAGGCTGCAGTAAGCCGAGATTGCCCCGATCCACTCCAATGTGGGCCGCGGGAGTAAAACCCTGTCTCAAAAAAAAAAAAAAAAAAGAAAAGAAAAAGAAACAGTAAGCAAGCTTGCTTCTCTACTCCTCCTCAAGGAGAAGCAGCCATTGTCCCATAATATTCATAAACCTGCTGTTGAAGGTTCTCAGGGAGTCTTGCCTTGCACACCTGTGTAAGTGCAACGGCCTCTCCTGTGCCCTGGTGACGTCTCCCTGGCATTGTTTCTGCTCCAAGTGCCAACTTGGGGATCAGGCCTCACTGTTACCAGCCTGGTGTCTGCACCACCCCTTGTGGTTTTCTTAAACCCTCCTCACAATTTTGTACACTGTCCTTTTATTAAACACTCCTTAAATGATCCCAACTTGAATGTTCTTTGTTTCTTCTCTAGTGGGACTCTGACTGACACCCCTGAGAAGGGACAGGAGGATCAACAATGTAACATAGACCTCTTTCCATTCCCTTTGGCAGATACACATGTCACGTGGTTGCTGTTCTCTGTCTTAATTTGGGTGGTGTAACTACTTGCAACTTCACTGATCTCTCCCTCACCTCCTCCTGGGAGAAGGCCAGAGGAATGTTGAGGCCACAGCAAACCACAATGAGGACCCAAGCGTCTGCAGGACCACAGGGAATTCTGGGCACAGCTCTGCCAAGAATCCTTCCTACCCCCTATTTTCTCAACCAAAATGCTGTCTAATATATTTTCATCACTTCCCTGTACCCACTATGAAAAGTGCTCTTGGAAACTGACATTGGGTCAAGCATACAGAAATAGTTAATATTTAGTTTTACCTCAGAAATTGTGGTCGTTCTGTTATTTATAGCATCTGCAGGAAATGCTTATTTGCTCTTGGAATCCAACATTCTTAATAGGACATCAAGCAATGTTTTCCAGGCACACAGGGTTTATATGGTAGAGCCAGGAGCATTTCATTTGTCCTTCTTACCGGCACCCACCTGGGTCACACAGTACCTGGCCATTCAGCACAGGAGGAGCAAAGGGTGAATTGAATATTGGCATCCAGCTGGGCCACGCCTGGAGGTTGGCAGACATCCGAGTATGTTACGCTTTCCTCCTCCTGTGCTGTATTCATTCCACAAATGTTTATGGCATATTGACCACACCCAGACCCTCTGTTACGTCCCCTGTGGGAGGTCAAATACATGAAAATGACTTGGTGCTGTCTTCAGAGGCTGCAGTTCAGCCCAGCCACGTGAGGCCACCATCAAGACCGCCTTTCACCCAGAGCCCCTTAGGACTAGTGTGGAGATTTGGGGAGCCTGAGTCTGCCCAGATTCTCTGATTTGAATAGAGCAATAACACTTTATTTGCTTTACATGTTAACTGAAAGCCCAGTCAGTCACTGGAACAAAGAGTTTGAGCATTTCAAAGTCAGGTAGGAATGCACTGATCTGTAGCAGGGTTCCAAGCCTGTCTACCCAGGATCAGCTGGAAAGATGTTTGATAATGGAGGGCACAGGTTTTACCACCATTAAAATGAACGACACCTGGTGGAGGTACATTCCAGAGCTTTAGCAAGCTCTGCAGGTGAGCCTGGGTGCACAGCCTGGCAGACTTGGGAGCCGTGTGTCTAGACCCAGGGTGAAGGCGGTGCTGTGCATTAGGGCAACAAGCTGCTTGTTTATGCCCAGACCCCACCCCAGAAAATCTGTGTAGGCACGACAGGGCTTGAGCATCCATATTTGAATAAATAGTACAATACTGCAGGTGACTCTAGTGCAAGCAGCTGGGGACCACAGGTGGAGAAGCATGGTGCAGAGGACCCTGAAATACAGGAACACAGCGCCAGCACATCTGCCGTGCTGGAGTTCTGCAAATGATGGCTTCAGCTCCACAGATGGTGGTTTCCCTTATAACAATTTGAGGCTTAAAAATAGGGCTTCACTTAAAAAGAACAGTGGATATTTCTGAGTGGTGGAATGATGAGTGGTTTCTAAATGTGTCTTCCTTATGTTTGTCTGAACTTTCTGGGTTTTTTTCTATCTTTATCCATTTATTGATGCAATAAATCTTAAGCATATAGTATATGCCACCTACTATATTGTTTCAGCAAAATGATATTAATTAATAATGTAATAATATACTAATTAATATAGGAGTGCAACTAAGAAATCTGTCTGCTTTCTAAGCAATAATTTTAGAGAGGCATTTTTATCCTCCATAGTTTGGTTCTTGGCCTCCTCATTCATAGAAATCACATTATATACACTTCCCAGGGGCTTGTCAAAGCCTATTTAATCAATAGCAAGCTGACATATTTTATTTGCTCCCTTCGAGTTGACCCATCTATTTTATAAATGTGCGGGGTGAGGCTTCCTCTTCTTCAGGTTCCTTTCCTGTATCTTTTTATTTTCTGCAACCTCTTATATTGTTCATAACCACATTTCTCCTATTAGTCATCTTCCCTGCTTTGAATCTCTAGTTAATATAGGAAAAGCTTCATACAAAGTACTGACAATGGTAGCAAATCAGTATCTTAATGTTCTACAGCTGTATTAAACAAGCAAGGAGACTGTCAAACTTTAGTAAGTAAAACAGCAACAGAATCTGCACATCTCCATTTACCAACCTTCTTCATGCATTCTTTCAGTTACACCGTGTAATGAACAGACTCTTCTGGCCTAGAACAATAACATCCACAGATAAGACTGCTTATGAGAAATGTGTTCTGTAATTTGTCCATTCATTCATTTATTCACCAAGTATTTGTTTAGTGTCTGCTATGTGCCTGGAACTTGGACGCAGCAGTGACAAAAGAGACAAAAATTTCTGCCCTGGTGAAGCTTATGTCCTGCGGGTAGAGACAGAGAGAATAAATAGGTAGAAGACACAGTATGTTAAAAGGTGGAGAAATAAGCCCATGTGAGGGGTCCCTGAGTCTGCGGAGTGGCAGCTCTAACTGAAATAGTAAGGGTAGAGCTAATAAGAAGTGGCTTTTGAGCAAAGCCTTGACAAGGTGAGGAACCACTCACACTGTAAAAGACACCTGCAGGTCAAGGTGTCCTCAGGTTGAGAAGTGCCTCATCTCATGCCAACTTTTCAACTTAAAAGATACAGTTTTTGTATGATACTGCACAGATACTGTCTTACTGGGCAATTTTCCTTCCATCTCAGGATAATAAAAGGTAAAACCGGAGGGCACTTCACACATCATAGCCAGAATCACAGTAAATCTGTGTTTCCTTCTTATAAGTGCTCTTTTAAAGTCTGATAGCTCAACAAGTATTGTAGACTGTACAGTTGTCCTTCAGTGGAAGGAGAAACATCTACACAAAGTATGTCATTTATTTTCTTCTCAGGCTCTTTCTTTAAAATACCTGCCATTTGTCATGGACCTCTAAGGCTGTCTGGCTCATAATGTTAGCAGAATCTTTTCTATTAGTGTAATTTGCTCCCAGTAGGGCAAAAAAATCTCGAAATAATAATATTCTTATGTTTCTTTCCTCTACTTCCTTCTGCATGACTTTGCACTCACTAGTTGACTACAGCATCCACATTGCCTTGAAAAGAAGTAGGATTTTTTTTTTAGCTGAAATGAAAAGTGGAAGAAAGAGTAAATTTTCCTTTTTTTTCTTCCCAAACAGGAACAGTACAACATGAGGAAGCAGAATCAATGCACAGAAATTAAGCTAATGTCTTCAGTCTTTGCAACACCACTTGAGCAGCTTGACCAAGTCACTCATGCCTAGTGGCCCCGTTAGTTGCTCTTCTCCCATCAATGAGCTTTGGAATTTTCGTCAGTAGCTGCCTATGCATTACTCATGGATCAGAGAGCAGAAAGAAACCAGACATTGCCAAGTCCCACCTAGGTAGCTACACAGGGAGCCCTGTATTGACCATGGCCCAGAACATGTGCAAGCGCCTTCCCATATGAGAGGGAGGGGCATTGGATTAAGAACCTGGTGACTCAGAAGGAAATATCCCCACCAGTGCTTTGGTGGGACTAGAAAATGGAGCCCACTCCTGACACCAGGAAGTGCTCATCTGGAGTTTAATTGAAGACAAAAACCCCAATGTTGGTGCCCAAATGTCTCTGCCTTTTGAAATTGTTGTGTAAATTCACTGATAATTCTCTTAGATTCACGTGGAGACATTAGTATTTTAACTGTTATTCATCCCTTTAAGGTCATCTTTAGAAGACCCTACATTGTGTTCTAATTGCTCAGCAGGGCTCCCTCCTAGAAGTTTAGACAACAAACTTATGCACATGTGGACTGCACCATCAGTGCCCTGGTTATGTTGGAGTAAAAGTGTAGAGAATTTTTAGGAAAACAGGCAGAAGTGTAGGTATTTTTGCTATTCTTTGCTTCACCTATCCACGGAGGTGGATAAAGACACCTGGGAAGGGGAAAATGTGGGCTAGCAAATAGAGAAGAGGCTGCTACTAGGCTGGGAAGTGCCTCCCTCATTTACGACTAGCCAGAGACACTGAACTTGGCTGTCCAGGCAAGCTTGGGTTCTGGGATATACCGAAATAAACCTTGGCCTTTATACAGACTTATTCCTCAAGCCAAGTTGTTTCACCAACTTGGTTCTGAAGATCCAGACCCCAGTTGGCATGAATCCATCCCCCTTAGACCCCAGCTGGCATGAATCCATCCCCCTTTCCATCTTGCCATCTTCAGCCCTCCCGGTGGAGCGGAGGTTCTCACCTAAATAGAGAAGCTAAATTTCTACCTTCTGATTTTACCTTTTCCATGTGTGCATCAGGCACTTTCTCCAAAAGATAAGAATCATTTGTGTTGACATCTTCACTTATTCAGTTCCACCTTCTCTTCTAACTTAGTAAGGATTTCTGCTAGTTAAATTGGCTTTAATTTCTTTTGCTCCCAGAAGTTATTGGAAGAATGCCCATTAACCATTTCATCATATTATTTCTATAACCCAAATTAATTTTCCAGAACATGCAGCATATCACCATAATGAGTTGCTATGACCAGTTGCATTAGAAAATATTGCCTTTCTATTTTTTTCTGTATTTTTAAATTCAATCAAAAAGGAATAAACTTCTGCTGACGAAGCTGCTTGGAAAAACCCATGCTGTTTAACGTGCACTTTCACTACCTTCAGTTTACCGGCTTCTTTGCTGAAACCCTGGGACCAACCATCTGTGGCCGGTCGTCATCATTTGTACAACCAGTGGCCCTAACTGGAAACTTGGAAAATTCCCACTCCTGGACAATCTGGCACATGGAAACATTCTTCTCAAGATGTGCTAGAATTAAGACTCATTAACGAACAGAAAGCACCAACAGCTCTCATAGTTTACAATAGGCACAGGCCCAGTGGGGTGCTGGAGGTGGCTGGAATCGGCTTGGGGGAGTGGACCAAGTGCACCCCTTCCCGCCTCCTCATTCAGTGTTGTCTCATGGGCAGTGTGAAATTAGCCATGGTTGGAGTCTATACATAACAGAAATTAGCAAATGCTACAAGTAAGGGCTTCCTCACACTCCTGCCCCTCTTCGGAAGAGCTGGGTTTTCAGCTCACCCCGGACATAATGCACTTGGCTACCTGGGCCATGGCCAGGGTATGAATGTTTGGTTCCCCCACAAGATTCCTGTGCTGAAATCCTAATCCCCGTGTGACGGTGTTAGGAGGCAGGGTCTTTGGGAGGTGATGAGGTCACGGAGGGGAGCTCTTGTAAATGGGATTAGTGCCCTTAGAAGGAGACCCCAGAGAGCTGCCTCTCCCCTCCAGTCACGGTGGACAGGAGATCAGGGTGAGTGAAGTCAGAGGCTGTCTGAGGGCCAGCCCTGCCAGTGCTAAGAGGTCCTGCTGCCTGGACACCCAGCCACTAGTGGCCTCATATTTGGTGGACATAGGGAGAAGGCTGTAGGAATTCCAGGCTCAAATGACAACAGAGACAGACACCACCTGTTGTATGAACAAATTGCAGCCAGGAGTTTGGTCCGGGTCTGAGTTCTGCCATCCCTGCTTGGGCTGTGTGTGTCTCATTGCTTGGATCTCGTGTAAGGCAACAGAGAAACAAAAAAGCCATGTCACCATAGAAATAATCATTAACACAATGAGCAAACACTGATACCACATCTGACTGACTTTGCGGCCTTGGCCCACTCCCGGGGTTTCAGCAAAAGTCGTGCCCTTTGGATTGCACATTTCCAGCTAGATGTGCAGCCCGTGTGTTGCACCTCTCTTTCCATTCCTTCTCCACAGTTAGAGGTGGACACTCAAGGCTCCAAAAAGTATAAGACTTTCATCTCAGCCTTCAGAGGGCTTTCAGTCTCCATGGGGAACTGAGTTTTTTTTTTGTTTGTTTGTTTCATTTTGTTTTGTTTTAAGTAGAGAGCAGGGCTGGGCTAAGATTTAAATAACTGAAACAAGTCATAAGGTGCTGATTTCCTGGAAGACAACCTAGGCAATACCATCCTGGACACTGGAAAGGGCAAATATTTCATGACGAACACACCAAAAGCAATAGCAACAAAAGCAAAAATTGACATATGGGATCCGACTAAAGTTAAGAGCTTCTGCACAGCAAAAGAAACTATCAGCAGAGAAAACAGATCATCTATGGAATGGGAGAAAATATTTGCAAACTATGTATCTGACAAAGGTCTAATATCCAGCATCCATAGGGAACTAAATTTACAAGAAAAAAAACAAACAACCCCATTAAAAAGTGAGCAAAGGACATGAACATACGCTTTTCAAAAGAAGACATACATGTGGCTAACAAGCACATTTTAAAAAGTTCAATATCACTGATCATTAGAGAAATGCAAATTGAAACCATCATGAGATACCATCTCACACCAGTCGGAGTAGCTATTACTAAAAAGTCAAATAATAACAGATGCTGGCAAGGTTGCAGAGAAAAGGGAACACTTATACGCTGATGATAGGAGCGTAAATTAGTTCAACCATTGTGGAAAGCAGTATCGTGATTCCTCAAAGAGCTAAAAGAATTACCATTCCACTCAGCAATCCCATTACTGGGTACATACACAGAGGAATAGAAATTGTTCTACAGTAAAGATGCATGCACGTGTTTTTTCATTGCAATCCGCAGCTCACTTCACCCTCCACCTCATGGGCTCAAGCAACCCTCCCACCTCAGCCTCCTGAGTAGCTGGGACTATAAGCCCACACTACTCTGTTCATAATAGCAAAGGCAAGGAATCAATCTATTGCCCAAAAATGATAGACTGGATAAAAAAAAAATAAGTGGTACGTATACACCATGGAATACTATGCAGCCATAAAAAAGAATGAGATCCTGTTTTCTGCAGGAACATAGATGGGACTGGAGGCCATTATCCTCATATCCTAAATTATGAGAACACATGGACACACAGAGGGGAACAACACATACTGGGGCCTACTTGAGGCTGGAGGGTGGGAGGAGGGAGAGGATCAGAAAGACTATCTATTGCGTACTAGGCTAATACCTGGGTGATGAAATAATCTGTACAACAAACCCCCCAGACATGAGTTTACCTACATAGCAAACCTGTACATGTAGGGTGATGAAATAATCTGTACAACAAACCCCCCAGACATGAGTTTACCTGTATAGCAAACCTGTACATGTAGGGTGATGAAATAATCTGTACAACAAACCCCCCAGACATGAGTTTACCTGTATAGCAAACCTGTACATGTAGGGTGATGAAATAATCTGTACAACAAACCCCCAGACATGAGTTTACCTACATAGCAAACCTGTACATGTAGGGTGATGAAATAATCTGTACAACAAACCCCCAGACATGAGTTTACCTGTATAGCAAACCTGTACATGTAGGGTGATGAAATAATCTGTACAACAAACCCCCCAGACATGAGTTTACCTACATAGCAAACCTGTACATGTAGGGTGATGAAATAATCTGTCCAACAAACCCCCAGACATGAGTTTACCTGTATAGCAAACCTGTACATGTAGGGTGATGAAATAATCTGTACAACAAACCCCCCAGACATGAGTTTACCTACACAGCAAACCTGTACATGTAGGGTGATGAAATAATCTGTACAACAAACCCCCCAGACATGAGTTTACCTGTATAGCAAACCTGTACATGTAGGGTGATGAAATAATCTGTACAACAAACCCCCAGACATGAGTTTACCTGTATAGCAAACCTGTACATGTAGGGTGATGAAATAATCTGTACAACAAACCCCCAGACATGAGTTTACCTGCATAGCAAACCTGTACATGTAGGGTGATGAAATAATCTGTCCAACAAACCCCCAGACATGAGTTTACCTGTATAGCAAACCTGTACATGTAGGGTGATGAAATAATCTGTACAACAAACCCCCCAGACATGAGTTTACCTACATAGCAAACCTGTACATGTAGGGTGATGAAATAATCTGTACAACAAACCCCCCAGACATGAGTTTACCTGTATAGCAAACCTGTACATGTAGGGTGATGAAATAATCTGTACAACAAACCCCCAGACATGAGTTTACCTGTATAGCAAACCTGTACATGTAGGGTGATGAAATAATCTGTACAACAAACCCCCCAGACATGAGTTTACCTGTATAGCAAACCTGTACATGTAGGGTGATGAAATAATCTGTACAACAAACCCCCAGACATGAGTTTACCTGTATAGCAAACCTGTACATGTAGGGTGATGAAATAATCTGTACAACAAACCCCCCAGACATGAGTTTACTTGTATAGCAAACCTGTACATGTAGGGTGATGAAATAATCTGTACAACAAACCCCCCAGACATGAGTTTACTTGTATAGCAAACCTGTACATGTAGGGTGATGAAATAATCTGTACAACAAACCCCCCAGACATGAGTTTACTTGTATAGCAAACCTGTACATGTAGGGTGATGAAATAATCTGTACAACAAACCCCCCAGACATGAGTTTACCTACATAGCAAACCTGTACATGTAGGGTGATGAAATAATCTGTACAACAAACCCCCAGACATGAGTTTACCTGTATAGCAAACCTGTACATGTAGCCCTGAGCCTAAAATAATAGATTATTTTAAAAAGATACTGGATTTATGAAGTCCCCAGGAGGTCAGGAGGAAGAGAGAACGCTTGAGACAAGCATGGTCAGTGAGGAGCTTGCAGGGATGGCAGAGGGGCAGGGAGCAGCAGAGTTTGAGTAGAGGAACCAGAAGCCCAGCCCTGGACCCATCTCTGCCTTCCTGTGTGTGCGCCTAACTCAGCTTTCAGGTGAGAGCTGGGGCTCAGGAGGTTATGTACTCACTTGCAGTTGCACGTCTAGGAATCCAGATGATGGTCCCATGTCTGCTGTGCCCCCGCCCTACTCTATTGCTAGGACAGCCAACCTCTACTCAGGGGCTGCAGCCGGTCAGCTGGCATCTACCAGGCTCAGCTGAGAGGGGTTCAGAGCCTAGAGGAGCTGTGGCATGCCAGGTCTAGGCTGCCTGTTGGCTGCTGTCAGGATGAATGCTGTTGTAGATAGATTCTTTTTGGCAACCAGAGACTTTCAGACGTCAATGGCCATGCAGTCTCCATGTTGCCCTTCCCATCCTGACACCACACACTCCTTATGCTGCAGCCACCATGGATGCCTGAGTGAACAGCCCTCAAATTCTATTCTAACTCCTTATTTAAAAGATAAGGAGACCCAAGACTGAGGAATTTGACATAAATAAGGAAACCGGCTTGCCTGAGCTGACTACTGCCTTTGGTCTCACGATAGCTGCCTGGTGGCCTCTGACTTTCACAGCTAGTACAACCTTCCAGCACCTTCCAGGATTGGTTTCTGAAAGAGGGGATTGTTTTTGCTCCCAGTCCCCCTAAACATTCTGTAGGTAATTACAGCACTCATGGCCCCATTTTCTCACTGTGTATTTGCCACCTTGGGTCTGTTCAGATGGCAAGCTCCCGAAAACCAGGCACCTCCTCCTTGTACCCATGGCACCATCGTGGTGCCTGGCTGCTGTCAGCACAGAGCATTAGCTCTGAGACACCTCCTCCTTGTACCCATGACACCGTCGTGGTGCCTGGCTGCTGTCAGCACAGAGCATTAGCTCTGAGACACCTCCTCCTTGTACCCATGACACCGTCGTGGTGCCTGGCTGCTGTCAGCACAGAGCATTAGCTCTGAGACACCTCCTCCTTGTACCCATGGCACCGTCGTGGTGCCTGGCTGCTGTCAGCACAGAGCATTAGCTCTGAGACACCTCCTCCTTGTACCCATGACACCGTCGTGGTGCCTGGCTGCTGTCAGCACAGAGCATTAGCTCTGAGACACCTCCTCCTTGTACCCATGACACCGTCGTGGTGCCTGGCTGCTGTCAGCACAGAGCATTAGCTCTGAGACACCTCCTCCTTGTACCCATGGCACCGTCATGGTGCCTGGCTGCTGTCAGCACAGAGCATTAGCTCTGAGACACCTCCTCCTTGTACCCATGACACCGTCGTGGTGCCTGGCTGCTGTCAGCACAGAGCATTAGCTCTGAGACACCTCCTCCTTGTACCCATGGCACCGTCGTGGTGCCTGGCTGCTGTCAGCACAGAGCATTAGCTCTGAGACACCTCCTCCTTGTACCCATGACACCGTCGTGGTGCCTGGCTGCTGCATTAGCTCTGAGACACTGCTGTGTTTCCCTCCTAGTTCTGCATCAGGTGGTACTGTTTTGTTTTGGTGGCTTGGTTCATTTTTTCTTATTGCAGTATTATCACTGCATAGAAAGCAGAAGTGGTCTTCCCATATTGTGTAAAATCCCCATTAAACATACACCACATGCTTCAGAGCGGCAGGAACAGGAAGAAGGATGGGATTCCCCGTGCCCGAAGGTATACCAAGTCTACATTGTCCTGAGAGTTAGGGACTACAAACACTTGTCCGTGCAGCATTTGGGAAGGTCAGAGGAGACGACTGTGTGGTGTGCATTGGAGAAGCGTGGGGCCCCTGTGCTCACCACCACCCTAAGCCCCTGTGAGGCAGGGGGCACCTGGTGCACTGTGACCAGCACTCTCCCAGCTTCCTGCCAGGAGGAGCCAGCTCCTTAGGTTCTGTAGGGTTTGACTTAAAGAAAATTTTAAAACGTGATTTTTCAATAAGTTGGTTGCCAAAAAATCTCTGTGGTTAAGGAGGCACCTCCCTCCTGGTCACTACTTCCCCCTGCCGAGCCTTCTGCCTGGGCAACTGCACCACAATCTCCAGCTGCACCATGTGTTTTGAAAAGCGTTTCTCCCCGCCCCTCTGGGGTTTTTCTCCTCCTCCAGTGGCGAAATTTCAGAGGGCACTGAGTGGGTTACTCTTCACAAGCACAGAGCTAAGCCCAGTCCTGGTAGAAAGCACACACAAAGAAGACCCAAGACCATGAATATGCTGACCTAAGTTGGACAGAACTGCTTCATGGCTTCCTGCTGTTACTCCATGGGTTTCTGATCCTGTTCTGTAGGTTTCTGCTGTTACTCTGAGTTCCTGCTATTACTCTGTGGGTTCCTGCTGTTACTCTGTAGGCTCTGCTATTACACTATGGGTTCTGATGTTACTCTGTGAATTCCTGCTGTTACTCTGTGGGCTCTGATGTTACACTGTGGGTCCTGTTTTTACTCTGTGGGTTCTGATATTACTCTGTGGACTCTGATGTTACTCTGTGGGTTCCTGCTATTTCTCTGTGTGTCCTGCTGTTACTCTCTGGGCTCTTGTGTTACTCTGTGGGTTCCGACATTACTCTGTGGGCTCTGCTGTTACTCTGTGGGTTCTGACGTTACTTTGTGGGCTCTGCTGTTACTCTGTGGGCTCTGATGTTACACTGTGGGTTCTGCTGTTACTCTGTGAATTCCTGCTGTTACTCTGTGGATCTCTCTGTGGTTACTCTCTGAATTCCTGCTCTTATTCTGTGGACTTCTTTTGTTGCTTTGTGAGTTTCTGCAGTTAGTTTACCTCTTTACCATCCAGCCAGGAATTCTTTCACTAGGAATTGTGTGGATGCTGGCCAATTGGGCTAAATTTAATATTACTATGTCCCCTATTGTGGTGGTGGGGTCTTGGCTTGGCAATTTCTACTAGTATTCCATATGCAGTTAATCTTGACACATCAGTGAAAGAAAAATAAAATCTCAGGCCTCCAAACTTACTATGCCAAAGGGAAAAGTTAATATTGGCAACACACACACACACACGCACACACACACACACACACACATACATGCCTTCTTTTTGTTCCCAAAAGCTTACTTTATCTTATGTGAAATGTAGATCTACTGAGTATGAGACAGATGTATAACCCTCCCCCATACCTTTCTTTTCACATGTGAAATGTAGATTTGCTGTACTCTAATCAGAGCCTCACAAAAATGTGACCACTTGCCTCATAGCCTACTCTCCCCTCTTTCCCCTCCTACCGGCGCTTTTCCCTTAAATATTTGGAAAAAAGTACAGGCCAAAAATCCTACTGTAACCTGTGTTTCTTTTTCCCCAGGCAAATCCACAATTTTGGCAAAATAAACCTCTATATCAGTTGTGATCTGCCTCAGACACTTTTTGGTTTACACAACAATCCAATCATAGCGATTTATTTGGAAATATACCTTCACAAGTTAAATCAAACCACAGCACTACTGGGCATTATTTGTAATGGCAAACTATTGCAAACAATCTAAAGCCCATCATAGACATCATAGAAACTATTCTAATAAATTGATACATTTATATAATGGAATAATCCGCAACCTTGAAGGGAATGAAGGAAGGAATAAAGAGAGAGGGTAAGGAAGAAAAGAAAGGAGAGAGGGAAGGAGGGACAGACAGGTGTTTAAATTGGGGATGTGCAAGCAATATTGCCTGCTTCATTGCCTTCACATTATCTAAAAGCATGTGGTCAAGAAACACTATTACAATAAGCACATCAGAAATAACTTCTAAAATTACTTTTCCAAAATATGAATCCATACTATACACTTCCTGTAATGTGCACCAAATGTAGATGCACACATTTTAACAAGGAAAAGACTAATACTCATATTTGCTTGCTACACACCAGACACTGTTTTAAATGTTTTGCACACGTTAACTCATCTGTTCTTACAGAAATCCTGTAGCGTGCACCGCCACCTCCATGTTTCTAGGAGGAAACTGAGGCACGGGGGCTGCGGCTCCTGGACGCACCTGGCCTTCTCGGCCTGCCTCTCTCCCTCCAGCCGCCCCACATTCTTTTTTCCTAATTGGAAAAAACTATTCACGCTGCTCCTCCAGGGCATTTCAACCTTCTAGAAAGACTCGACAAGATTCGAAACTGTTTATAAAGAGAACGTGCTTGTGCCTGAATGCTGAGTGTGAGCGCGCAGTGATGCCCTAGAGTGCAGTCATCCCGGGCTTGGCGCCCAGCGGGTGGAAATACGGCCGCAGGGTGGAAATGCGGCGGCGGGGCTGCCCAGGCTCCTGTGGGACCCGCGCGGCGCGGGCACGCACATTCTCAGGGACGCGCGTCCTCAGGCCACGAGAACACCTGAAGGCCCCGGCCAGCGTCCTCCAGTGAAGACCCGGACCGGCGTCGTCACCCGCCGCGCAGGCCTAAATCTCAGGTCTTCACCGTCATCTCCCAGCGATCGCAGGGATCTCAGGCACTGACCGCGCCCGTCCCTGCGCCCCCCCGCCCCCGCCCCCCCGCGCCCCCGCGCCCCCGCGCCCCCGCGCCCCCACACCTCCACGCCCGGCACTCTGGGCGCGCGCGGACGGCGGGGCAGTGCCTACTACGCAGGCGCACGCTGCGGGCGTCAGGACCCGGCAGCAACACTGCCACGCGAATCCGCGCCGGCCAATCAGCATGGCCAGGGGCGGGGCTTCCCTGAGGCGCGCCGAGAGGCGGTGGCCCACTTCCGGCAATAATCGCCTGGTCGCCGTCAGGTGCCGGCCCAGGTGGCAGGCGCGCCCGTTGGGCACTGGGGGACGCGGGCGCGTCAGGTGAAGACTGGGGGCTGCAGGCGCGCTAGGTAGGTACGGGGTGCCGCGGGCGCGTCAGGTGAAGACTGGGCGCCGCAGGCGCCTTAGGTGAAGATTGGGGATCGCGGGCGCGTCAGGTGGGGACGATGGGCCACGGGCGAGTCAGGTGAAGACCGGGGGCGGCGGGCGCGTCAGGGGAAGACATGGGGTCGCGGGCGCGTCAGGTGGGGACCGGGGGTCTCGGGCGCGTCAGGTGGGGACGGGGTTGTCGCGGGCGCGTCAGGTGGGGACGGGGTTGTCGCGGGCGCGTCAGATGGGGACGGGATTGCCGCGTGCGCGTCTGCTGAGGTCTGGGTCCGCGGGCGCGTCAGGAAGGGACGATGGGCCGCGGGCGCGTCAGGTGGGGTCTGGGGGCGGCCGGCGGGTGTGGAGGGTTCATTCAGGGAGCTGCGGGCGAGTCAGGTGGGCACGGGGACCGCCCACAGGTGCATCGCGTGTCCTCAGCCGCTTCCCCTGCCCACCTTCTGCGACCCCTTCCCGCCCCCACCCTCCTGGGCCGTCTTGCAGGCCCGAGCTTGTGTCCGCCTCGCTGGGCAAGGTGTTTCGGGGACGACTCCTGCCGGCGTTTGCCCTCCGGGCTCGGCCCTTGCCTCTTCGCCGGTGGGCACCTGCTAGGTGTGACCCCTCATTCCTCCAGGCCACTCTGCCCCGTCTGCTGCTTACCTTTTTTTCCCTACTCCTGGTCTGTGGCTCTGGCTCTGTCTCTGTCTCCTCCCTTAATTTCTTTCCATGCTTATTTTTCTTGCAGCAGACACTAATTTTGCATCCTTCCCCTCACAGTAAGCTCAATTTGACCTTTTTCTCAATTAGATTCCACCTCTGTCCTTGGGTCTATTCAAACTCATTTTGAAGACTAAAGAATCTAGAGAACCATTTCTTCCCTTATGAAGCTGTCTCTTGCTGCCTCCAAATCCTTACCATCCGGCCCTAATCAAAAAAGACGTTTACTCTTTCATATTCTGTTTTCTCCTCGTCTTTACATGTTTACCTTTCCCATGAGGAATCTGTGATTATCTGTAAGTCCTTACAGTAAATCTTATTTCTGACTCTCAGCCCTCAGTGTGCCATTTTTTTAAATGTCCTTTCTGGATCAAATTTGTCCACACTTTTAAGCAAAACAAATAGGGAAACACATGTGGTCTTTTAAAATGGATTAGAGTTTTCTTTCCTGTCTTGTTTTCCTTGTTTTAGTGCCTTTATATTTAGATTCATCATTACTTGAAATCATATTAGTGATCTGTAATAGACGGTAAAAAAAAAAGTTAAAAGGCTTATAATTTAATGGCATCTGTTTTAATAGGGTTTTCAGGAACTGCTATTATAAACATAGTGGGTAGGAGCATGGATCCCGGAGTGAGACTCCATCATTTTGAATCCCAGCTCCACTGAACTCTTTGCCTCAGTGTCTTCATCTATAAAATAGATAATGAAACTTGTAAAACAAGAATAATGTTTTCTATCTTGGAGGACAGCATGAGGATTAAATGAGACAACATATGTAGATTGTTTAGAGTAATGCATAGCCTATAGTAAGCTCTAATAAATGTTTGCCATTATTATTGTAAAGAAAAAATATGCTTGTTGAAGGAAAGACTTTTTTTTTGTTCTGAGTCTCTCATGCCAAGAGTTTCCACCAGCAAATGAACTTCATGAAGTCATTTTCTACTGAAGTACCCCACCCACATGTCCTACCACATGAAATAGAAATTAAGGGAAGATTTAAAATAGTTAATCATTGTAGGCTGTCTGAAATAAGTTGGCATAAAATGTGCTTAAAATTTGCAAATTATACAAGCTACACCCTTTGAGTGCTTGCTCTTAAAAGTTTAATAATTTTCAGGAGTAATTTCTAGTTTTTTTTTGTATTTGCAAATCCCAAAATAAAGGTAATTTTAATTAAAATAAGCGTACAAAGCTCTAGCAATTCACATTTTTTTAGCTGAACAAATACATTCCCATTAAAAGCCGTGGGTTGTCATCATTCTATAAAACTTTAGTAGCATTGTTTTCTGATTTACAAACTCAGAAGCCTCAGTTTGGGAGTATTTTTGAAAACTTGAGATCCAGACCCCAGACCTTTTAAATTGCAACTTGTCTTTTTTTGTTGTTGTTGTTGTTTTTAATCTGCATCCAGAGTTTGTGCTTTAGTTCATGAGCTGTATAGATTATGCTTTAAGAAAAACTTCATTGTGATCCAAAGAGCATACCATAACAAATCTGTGAAGCACACACATCTTCAGAGAAACAAATCTTTTCCTCTGTGTTGAAAATAAGCCTTTGGGCATGGACTATTTTTTTATTTCCATGGCTGCATTTCACTCCTTTCAACCCTTAAAAAAATCAAACTTAGCAGCTGAGAAATTCAGACCAAACTATTCATTTCTCACTGAGTTGCCAAAATGAATTAACTGTAGAGTTTAGGTAGTTGTAAAAGAATTGGTTATATTAATGGAAACAGTAGGCAGGCTCTTTATGTAAATGTTATAAAGATTGTTTGTGAAACTAGAAGATAAGTGTATTAAATGATGAGTGGGCATAGTGTCTAAATAGGTAAGTACAATATTTGTGTGTCATCACGTTTTAAAATATTTTGTCAGCTGAGGATACCGGGATGTACATAGGACAGTCATCCAGATAAGGTTCTGTTGGCAAGATATTTGTTGCCTAGTTGTTTTTTTCTGTCTCCATGTTTTTCATTTGATCTATCCTACAAGCCCTAGAAAATTATTATTCTCAAAACAACACTGCTCACACTGATCTGTTGCTGAAAAACGTTTAATTACTGACAGAATAAAGTCTAAACACCTTTGATATTCTTTGATATTCTTCTATGACCTGGCTTCTAGTCACTTTCCCAGCTTATGTACCAGTCCTCTGATAAACTTTCTCCATTTTATCCAATCTTTTCTGCTTATTTTTCTCAAACTGTGGCACACATTTTGACCTTTATACTTATGCACCCACCATTCCCATGATTGATATTTTTTGCCTTGCCTCTCCATTAATTTAAGATCTAACCATGCTTTAGGGCCAAGATCAAGTCCTAGTTTCTCGTCAGAGCTTTCCCAGCTGATTTGCTTTCTGCTCAAATTAACTTTATTCTCTCTTTACCACAAGTTACAAGATTGTGGACATATGTGTATGTATGTATACATGCACACTCACATATCTACATGTAAACACACTTTATTATAGTACACTTGTATGGAATTTGTGTTTTGCTATTGTTCTTTTTTAGTTCCTTAGCTAAATTGCACACTTTTGAGGGCAGGAACACCTAGCATAATAACATGTAGTTGGTGCTCAAATGTTTGTCGTTGAAGTAATCCTGTATTTGTTAGCAGTAACAAATACAAATCCTGTATTTGTTAGCAGTAACAAAATCTGTTAGCAGTATTTTTCAGGATTATCCACTTGATTTTTTTTTAAAATATATATTTCTGAATCCACAGTTTCAAGTTGATATTGAGAGATAATTTGATAATTATCAGAGATGTTCCTAGCAGCCATTTTCTGTTGAATGTGTTTTATGAGACTCAAGGTGCCACTTAAACAGGCATCTGCTACTTCATGGTCTTTTCTGCCTTTGGTGGGAATGTTCTTGAAAATCATAAAATCAGCTGTATGCTATTAGAGATAGTTTTAGATAACTCTAGATCGACTGAACATGGGCATTGAGTTTTGCATTTTAAGATGTTCAGTAGTTGTGAAGCAGTTCTGTGAGACAAAGTTTATCAAAATTGTGCTGAAATTTAAGGAATAAAGTATTTTCTAAAGCAAGAATTTAAATTAATCATTATGTGACTGAAAAAGACATGTTCTGACTATAAGTCAGTTTAGCAAGGTTTGAGATTTTCTTCGTGTAAAGAATAATTACTTCATCATACATTTCCTACACCAGTCAAGAGTTAAGCATTTGTGGTTGATCCAGGAATATTGTTGAAGTCTATGTAATTTCCTTCCTTTTTTTTTCTGTATCTTCTAGGATTGTATAAGTGCCCATTTAATAACTTGTTTTTTGTTAATTATACTAAATATAGTTGGGAGGTGGTGTTTGGAGATGTTCATCTCTCATTTATTCTCCATGATGTAAATATTCTACATTATTCTCTACGATATAAATATTCTACATTATAAAATACTCAAGTCTGTTCGGGACGTGAAATTAAAGTAACACATTACAGAAACCACTTTTACTTGAGTAATTCAGCTACCTTTCTGTAGCTAAATTCAACGTATATTTTCAACTCTTGCCATGCTTGGCGTTTTTATAACATTTTCGTCTCTGTCGATCATTTCTTTCTTGAAATACATTTTTCTCCTGGCTTCCTACTTCTCCCTCTACCTTTTTGGCTCTTCCTTTTCAGTTTTTCTTTTTGGCTTATATCTGCTGGTCCCTTAAATGGTGATGTTTCTTAGGGTTTTTTTCTTGGCTCTCTTGATTTCCCTCTCGACATATTCTGTGATATTATTTGTGTGGTCTTGATTAGTATCTAAATGCTCATGATTTTCCTCTTTCTCTCTAGTCCAACTCTCTTCTGAACCATGGATCTATATATTTATTCATTCAGTAAATAAATACTTATAGAGCTCCTGTTGTTTTCCTGGCATTGTTCAAGGTAATGGAATACGGACCTGAACAAGACATTGCATTTTCTTGGAGGAAAACAGATGATAAACACGCTAATCATTTCAGACAGCCCTTACAACTATGAAGGCACTAGATAATGACTTAGACTGGTAGGGATGGGGTTGAGGCAGCAGAACAGCACTGTTTGGACAGGGAGTCAGGGAGCCTTTCTGGGATGTGACATTTTGAATCAGCAGTGTGAACATCTGAGGTGGTTTTTAGCCTCATGCACAGTCTCACTGTGTATGAGAATCACCTGTGGACCTTTAAAAACTATTTAAACTTAGCCTTCACCCCCAAATATTCATATTTAACTCAACTAAAATGGGACTAAGCACTTGAATGTTTAAAAACCTTCCTGTGATGTTAATGCACAGCAGTAGTTGAAAATCACTGATCAAGAGGAGCAGAAATCAAGTTAATGGGAAGAACTAGCATTTGAAGTCTCACTCTTATCAAATTGTGAGCTTCATGAAGTTAATCACGAAGTTGCATCATTTTTTAAGTCATAATTTTTATACCTGGAGTCTAGTATTTCAAACTGAACAGGCATGTCCGAAGCTGAAATTAATATCCCTTATCTCTCCTTTCCTAATAAAACCCTGCTGTTCCTTCTGTATGTCTTATCCCAGAACCAGGGGCTACAAAACAAAATCTAGATAACTTCCTTGATTTCCTCCTCACGTTTCCAGCCAGTCTTCAAGTACTGTTTGACTCTGTTTCCTAAATGTTTCTGTAGTCTCTGCTCTTCTGTTTCTTTTGCCACTGTACACTCTCACCTTTTAAAAATCAACATTCAGAAGCCTCCAGTCCCAACTACTTTCCTGCAGGTGATCCTCACCCCATACCTTCTCCCAGTGTGATACTGAGTTCTTTGTAAACCACAAATCTAATTGAATCACTTACCTGCTTACTTCCCTTTTTTGGCCCCTCATTGCCCTCAGAATAGCATCCAACTCCTCTGACTTGATCCAGCCTTAAATGACTTCTCCATCCTTAATTCTGGCCCACTCCCTCTCATCTATTCTAAGCTTCAACCAAACTGAACTACTTAGAGTTGCTGAACATGAATACATTTCATTTTTGGTTGCTCCTAACTTCTGGTAAAGAGAATACTTGTTTGGGATAATATTCCCTATTCCACACTCCCTGACCCCTGCTTGTTTTTCAGGTATGAGCTTGAATGTCACCTCTGGTAAACCTTTCGTGGGATATGCAGTATTAGGCCAGTAAAACCACGTTTACTTACCCCATTTTATCACTTTAGTACAATCAAAGTACTGTGTTATTGTCACTGTCACCAATGTCCAGCCAACATTTAATTAATGAGCAGACATTTAAATGTTAAGAACTTTAATCTTTAAAATTAATGAATAAATGTTCTAAGTGAAAAGAAACTTTTATGAATTATATATACTTTTTAACATAAATTAACTTTTTCATAGGAGAACTATGCCATTTTTGGGTCAGGACTGGAGATCTCCTGGATGGAGTTGGATTAAGACAGAAGATGGCTGGAAGAATTGTGAATCTTGTAGTCAGAAACTTGAAAGAGAGAATAACCATTGTAACATCAGTCACAGCATGTAAGTTACAGCTGAGCAGAACCATGCCATTTGCCAGTTTAGCATGTATGGCCTTACCTATTTTTCAAGTCCCTGCAAAGCTCCATAACTTTTGAGACTTGCCCACCCAGAAGGCTGGTGTGAAGAAACAAGTTATTTAGCTAAAAAATGAGGCTAGTAGATTGCCTAATATTCATACACAGATGCTTTTTTCTTTTTTTGTAATTTAAAACATTTAATCCTCACAATAATTGGGAGAGAGGTATTATTATTAATCCCACATTATAGCTGAGGAACCTGAGGAAATTAAAATACACAGTTTTGGTGGCATGTATCAGAAATGTAATAATAGTGTCTTACACAAGACAAATCAGTTTTTCTCCCTTGAAAGCCTGAGTTGGCATGATGACTTTGCTCGTAACATTGTCAAGGGGCCAAGCACAGTCTGTCTTGTTGCTCTGCCATCCCAAGAGTGCAGCCTTACCTGCATGGTCCAAAACGGTGTATTACCTTCCACATTTGCACTCAGGCCGAAGGGTAGGTGGGGTTGGTGAGACACAACCTGTGTTTCAGTGGCACAGCCCAAAAGTTACATGCATCACGTTGCCCACACCTTGTTGGCTAGAGCACTAGTGCAAGGGAGGCTGGGGGTTGTGGCCCAGCCGTGTGTCCAGATAAAAACCAGAGACTGCATGAGCACAGAACCAGGGTAGGTGGCTATCGTATGATGACTACAGTGTCTACCACAGTGGTGTTTGAGAATTTGGAGGGCTAGGAAGGTCTTGAGATAGCCTCCTCTAGAATGTCATGGGTCTAGTCATTTATTGTATATTATTTTACATTTGTGTAATTATCAACTGTGTGCTTGATGGGCCATATGTTTTTCTGACAGAAGTTTAGTAACTTTAGACCAGAGACTGGTTTTTGCAGTATTTGAAGCAGAAATTAATTTTCTATTTTTGTTACAGTGAGGATAACACATAATATTTGTTAAACTTATATTGTAGCAGTTCTCTGCCACACTAAGATGTATTTAATGTTGATAGCTGTAAAACTTATTTAAAGCTTGTAATTATGCTG
This sequence comes from Homo sapiens, assembly GCF_000001405.40. Classification (NCBI taxonomy): domain Eukaryota; kingdom Metazoa; phylum Chordata; class Mammalia; order Primates; family Hominidae; genus Homo; species Homo sapiens. The sequence continues at coordinate 140,157 of NT_187523.1, forward strand.
TTGGTATTGCATAATGTTATACAGTTATGAATTCTCTAGGTCATTTTTACTATTTTTTACGGCAATTTTTTTAAAATTTAAAGTTGGTTGGCTGTATCTAGAAATGTTAGGTGTCTCACATTTACTCCCAATAGCCACTATTAAATGTGGATTTTAGGATGGGGAGATATATTACAGAATGTCAATTTAAAAAAAGCTGTAATGCTTGAAGTACAGTGTTACTGCTGCATCTGCGGTGAGGAATTTGTGGGAATTTGTTTTTTTCCCTCATGTATTCTTTTTCCCATCATCTCAAACACATTTTAAATGTCTGAGAATTGTTTTTTTTTTGCGCTGCACACATAAAATTAGAGAATACAGTCGAGATATGTTTTCTTTGCATAACTGGCTACCCCTCTGTCTCCCTTTCCCCTTCCCCCAAACTTACCTACAGATCCACCCCTTTGAATCAATGGCTGCTAACACAAGCGTCCCTGCGCAAAAAGGTTTTATGACAGCAACCCTGGCTACCCTTTGTGGGGCACAGTGAGCGAGAACTAGTCAGCACCACCTTTTACCCCACCTAGTTGCTTTGCAGTACTGGGACCGCCCCGGCTTCCTACTCTGCCATTTCGTTCATCTTTCGTTCATCTTCCTGGGACTTCTGTCCGTTCCTACCAAAATGCAAATCCAAACCTGTGGGTAGAGGCTGTTGGTGACCTGAAACTGCAGCAGATGTTTAATATATCCTTTCTCTGGAAGGAAAAACCGCTTAACTTTGAACCTAAAATTGATTTTAAAAAGATAAGACCATATGTAATCACCATTTAAAATCACTATATAAATGACCTTCTCTTTCCCCCACATGTCTTTGAGAAACATAGTACCCCTAATTCTTTGATTTAAGGTGGGCTTTCAAAACTTAGAAAAAGAACTATAGTAAAAATAATTTAGGTAATCAAGATTCTACGTCACTTTGTTAATTTTCTTTTTTGTGAACGTGCGGGAAAATAGGCCTTTAGTATCCTTCTGCTTACTTTTCAACTCATTTTAGTATTCAAAGTTTAGAGAACATAGGGAAGAAATTAAGCAATTCAACATGGTTGATCTGGGGGAAGCCAGCCAGTTCATACTCTGAATCCTTGATTAAGCTGCTCTTTCAAGCAACATTCATGATATTACTGAGGTTTAAACATAGTTTGATGGACAGAGGATTCATCTTAACCCTGACCTAAGGAAGCCTTTTATTAGGCTGTTGATTCAGAATAGAAGGTAGATCAGCTGGGGTCCAGATTGAAGAGAGGACAGCCAGTTAAGGGTTTCAGTAGACAGGTGAGAAATGTTGAGTGCTGCCTATGGTGATGTCTGCATAGCTGGACAGAGGGTCAGGATCAGTAAAAGAGTGAGTCACAGATTGATTGGACTAGCCAAAAGGGTGGCCCTGAGAAGGACTCTGAGGGTTCAGCTGGGGAAATGGTGTAAGTAAATAATCTGGCTGGGTCTTCTCTCCAGCATAGTGTTCCTGCCACTCAGTTTTATGTTTGACGACAGAAATTGTATGATTCCTATAAAGGAAAGATATTGAAGAAGAGTGTCTAGATACTATATATCTTTAAGAATTTCTAACTTTTTCCATCGGATTTCAGTGTTATTATGGGCACTGTAATTGCCTATAGTTATTTCAGTATAACTATAGGCACTGTTGAGGATATATAAGAAATTGTTCCTTGTCTTTTATGAAGTTGACATTTGACAAGGGAGTGTGTAGTCAAACATAATGCATTCAGCTCAGTCTTGGCAGAGATGCTTCTGGGTTCTTTGCATTGAATTTTCTAAATCTTTTTTATTGCATTATTTTTTATACCTCATAAAACATTATATTTTCTATTCAAATTTGAATGTCTTAACACTTACTTTGGTAATTTGGTTCTCAGTGGGCTTAGCAATGGGGGCCATCGTATTTTAAGGTTCTACCAAAATTATCTTCAACTCTAGTAGTTCCCAGGATATCCCAAGATAATGGAATTCTATAAAAAGCATTTTTAAATTGTGCATCCCCCAAGGAAACAAGATAGAAGAAGCTACATTTTTGGTTCCCTTATGAGAATGTGAACATAGTCTCTGGTTACCATGAGGGATAGAGAATTCAGGGGATCCTTCTAGCCCTTGAAGTGTGTACTGGGCTCGAAAGCCACTGTACCTTGGAGAGGAGACATCCTGTATCCATTTAAGTAAATATCCTTGTTAGCACATTGGCATTTTCCCCTTAGGATCTTTAGAGTATTGTTACAGGTTTCAGCAAAAATCCAGATGGCCTTCCTGATACCCTTTCTTTAGTGACTGGAAAGAAAAAGAAAATTAATTTCAGTGTCAGACTCAGCACTGTTTCAAGCAGTATTTGTTAGTGCTTCTTAAATTAATGATTTTCTCTGGATTGTAAACTCTTTTCTCTGACTTTAATATTATCTCTTCCCCAAATTTGTGGGTTTTGTCAATTATAAAGCAACATGTGCTCTTTGTAAATGAAAAACAACAGAAAATTCATGCAGTCCTGAAGCATAGAACGTGAAGGGTGAAGTTCCCCTTTTCTAGCTCAGATCCTTTTCTGCACAGTCACCTCCTGCATAGTCATGCTCACCAGATGTCAGAGTCTGCAAAGAATCGTGGTCATTTTCTCCACCCCAGTCCCTGCTGTTGCCTGGTGGTTTCAGTGTCCACCTGTGGGACTCACAGCCTCTGGCCTTAGTACTGTCCTCTTTGTTCCTAGGATCTGCTTCTCTCCTCTCCTCTTCTCTTCTCTGTCTCAGCCACCCACTCCCATGGTCCAGACTCATGAATTCGGGCATCCCAGTCCTTAAGCGTAATCTTCTCACCTTCCAGATTTCCTGACTACCACCTCAACCGTTGCCTTATTTTTTCTACCCTATCAACCTTCTTTTTATCATGTCTCCTTTTGTCCAGCTTCTATTCCATGATCCATTGTTTCAGTAACACTCTTGCCGCTACCCTAAACTCCATCCCAGTCTTTTTTTAAAAAACACACTCAAACGGCATATTCCCAACCCTGAATGAACCAACACATGAGCAGCTAAGAAATATAAGAAAGAAGATTCACACCAGAGAACACAGTGGGGACATCATCAATTCACTCACTTGCTTTCTGCTGAATTTATTCTCCCATTGCTTGCTCCTCCCTGTTCACCCACTCATTTATTTGCTCTTTTCACTTGCTCACTCATTTATTCTTCCACTATTCTGTAAACTGATGTTTCTTGGTCATCTGCTATGTGCCTGTAGGGCCCCCATGCGGCCCACAGCCCCACTGTGTTTGCTTGGTTGGCCTGCTCTACTCCTCTTTGTGTTATCAATATTTCAAACTCCTTCACTCTCCTCTGATGTTCGGCTCCCTACATACTCCTTCTCCATCTTTTCAAAACAACCGGATCTCTTGTGTCACCAGGAAATCCAGAGCCATCAGACTTTTTCTCAGAACCTTAAGTTGATTTAAAATTTTCATCTTCATTAACTTTATCCTGAATCTTTATTTTTTGTCCAGAACACCTGAGATATTCTGAACAGAGGCTTATTTTTGTTAATTATCTCACAGGGAACAGTAAGTGTGTTGCCCTTTGCCTGTTGATTACCCCCAGGGGTAGAGTCATAGGGATTTTTCCTACATAAGTGGTAGTGGCTTTTCTTTGCTCTTGATGGGAAGGACACAGCTTTCCCCACCCCTCCAGAAAGGGTTTCCTTGGAAATGGCATGGGCCGGAGTCCTACCTCTACTCCTTTGTTGGGTAGATAAAATCTACCCAGGAGCCAGACTTAGAGATGTCTCTCGTCTTATTATTACACATACTGTTACACCTGTTTAGTCCACAATATATTAAGGATTTACTATGTGCTATGGTGTCAGGATACAGCAATAAATGAAACATGAAAACCCATGTCTGATGGAGCTTGCATTCTGGTGAAACAGATAGGCAGTGGACAAGATGAGTTCCACAGTGTAGTAATTGTGATAGTATGTGGGAGATAAGAAATGCTAAGGATGGGTGGTGTTAGAGGAAGATCTACAGAGAGTGGCCTCTAAGAAGCCATCTGTGGAAGCAAACCTTAGGCAATGAGAGCAGGATGAATGGATGTCTGAGGGCAGGGCCTCCCCGGCAGGGAAAGAAAAAGTGCAAAGACCTCAAGGCAGGAGTACATCATCTGGCATATTCAGGGACAGCAGGGTTCCAGCATGGATAAGGGGAGCCCAGAAGCGGGGCCGGTAGGAGACAAGATCCCAGCCTGACTGGGTCCCAGCTGTGAAGTACCTGTTGTCATAGTAAGGACTTGGGCTTTTCTGAGTGAAGTAGGGAGTCAGGGTTTTGAGCAGAGGAGTGATTTGTTCAGGCCTATGCTTTAACAGGATTATTCTGGCTACTGTGTTAAGAACAGACTTCCAAGAGGCAGGACAGAAGCAAGTGGACCAATTCTTAAGAGGCTTGGGTTAACCTCCATGGGAAATGATCATGGCTTGGAGAGAAAGGAGGTGGTGGATGAGGAAGGGCTCAAATCCTGGGTGTATTCTGCAGGTGGAACTGACACATGGAATGTGTATGGTGCAGTAGGAGGGTCGAGGGGTGAGACTAAGACTTTGGCCTGAGCAGCTGGAAGGTAGAGTTCCATTAACTGAAATAGCATCTAAATCTGCATTGCCTTGCACAGGGTCCTTGGGTCTGTGCCTAGGAACAGAACCACAGTGTCACAGGTCATGCACCTCTTTCCCTTTCCAGTGAGGTGGTGTCAGCATGTTCTCCTAATGCATTGCATGTTCATCCTTTTCCTCCACTTGTATTTCCTGGAAGTTGTTCCATGTCAGTGTGCATTGAGTTCCTCATTCATTTTAATGATGGCATTTCATTGTTTAGGTATACCATAACTTATTTGTCCAAGCTTCCACTGACATCATTTTGGCTATTTCCCACTTTTCATTATTTCTGGTAGTATAGCATGGGTCATCTGTGAATATCTCTTTGCATACTTGTGTGAATACTTATGAAATCTAAGTTCCTAATAGAATTGTATATTTAAAATTGTAGTATTGCCACATTACCTTCTGTAATTTTGCACCAGTTTATACTCTGAATAGTAGTGTACACAGATTCCCATTACTTCACACTTCACCCAAGATGTGTGTGTGTCAGTTCAGGTTACACACTGCACAAGGGGAGGGTTTCATCATGAGGGAATAATGGCTGAAATGCATCTGTGTGCCTTGTGTAGGCTGCATGTGTGTCTTCATCTAAAGGTGCTGTCTGCTCCCATGCCATCTGCGTTGTGGGGACAGTGCACAAGGTGTTTACAGCAGCCTTGTCTTTGTAATTACTTTAACTAGTTTGGTGGGCAAAAAACATTAGACATTTTATTTCTTTTCCTTTCCCTTTCCTGTCCTTCCTTTTGTTCGTTCGTTTGTTCTTTTTTTTTTTTTTTTTTCCGAGATGGAGTCTTGCTCTGTCACCCAGGCTGGAGTGCAGTGGCGTGATCTCGGCTCACTGCAACCTGTGCCTCCTGGGTTCAAGCAATTCTCCTGCCTCAGCCTCCTGAGTAGCTGGGACTACAGGCACCCACCACCACACCTGGCTAATTTTTGTATTTTTAGTAGAAACAGGGTTTTGGCATATTGACTAGAATGGTCTTGATCTCCTGACCTCAGGTGATGCACCCGCCTCAGCCTCCCAAAGTGCTGGGATTACATGCGTGAGCCACCGTGCCCAGCCTGTTTCTTTATTAAGTAAGAGAGCTCTTTTAAAAGAAATTATAATTATATTTCCCCTGTTTACACTTATAAAAAACTAAGAAGATAAGAATAGTTAATTTACAAAACACTAGGATGCACAGTGCAACAACAGGAGAAATCAAAGTTTTTTCAACCAACATAGTTCAGTTGGGAAGGGAAAGATTTTTTCAACTGGATAAACATGCAAGGAAAAATGAAACTCTACTACTCACTCTTACTGTGGACATAGCATTAATTTTAGATGGATTGTAGAATGAACTGTAAAAGGCTAAAACTGTAAAGTTTTAAGAAGAAAATAATATTTTCACAATGTAAAGTAGGCAGATTGCTTACCACACAAAAACCACAAGCTGTGAAAGAAAAAAAGATAAACTTTATATTAAAAACTTATACCTAAAGTCATCATTAGAAAGGCAGAGCAACGGCTGGGCGTGGTGGCTCAGGCCTGTAATCCCAACACTTTGGGAGGCCAAGGCGGGCAGATCACCTGAGGTCAGGAGTTCAAGACCAGCCCGGCCAACATGGTGAAAACCTGTCTCTACTAAAAATACAAAAAAAAAAAAAAAATTAGCCGGGCATGGTGACAGGTGCCTGTAATCCCAGCTACTCAGGAAGCTGAGTCAGGAGAATCACTTGAACCTGGGAGGTGGAGGTTGCGGTGAGCAGAGATCCTGTCATTGCACTCTAGCCTGGGCAACAAGAGCAAAACTCCATCTGAAAAAGAAAAAAGAACAAGATTTACTATAAAATGTAAAATCACCACAATCAAGAGAGTGGTATGTGGTATTGGTGAAAAGATAGATACACAGGTCAGTGGAACAGAACAGAGGACCCCAGATAAGTCCATACAGATATGGTTGGTTTATTTTTGACAGTGGTGTAAAGGCACCTCTTAATATATTCCATGGAGAAAGTGTAATCTTGTCAACAAATGGACTAGAAAACTAGATGTGTATATGCAAAAATAAATAAATAAATAAATAACCTGTACAGCTCACATTTTATACAAAAATGAACTCAAAATGGATCATATACCTAAATGTAGAATGTAAAACTGTAGAACTTATGGAAGAAACCCAAAGGAAAGTCTGCATGATCTTGGGCAGAGTTTTTAGATATGATACCAAAAGCACAATCCATAAAAGAAAAAAATCTATAATTTGCATTTTATCAAAATTTTAAAATTCTACTCTCAGAGAACACATTTGTAAGTCACATATCTGACAAAGGGTTAGTATCCAGAATAATAAAGAACACTTAAAACTCAACAATAAGAAAACAGCCCAGTAAAAAATTGGGGAATAGTTTTGGTGAACCTGTACTTCACCAAACAACTTGCATGGATTGCAGAGAAGCCCATGCAAATAAGCAGAGAAAAATAAGCATGTGATGCCCAACATAATTTATTGTTAGGGAAACAAATGCAAGCAATCCGGAAGGTAAACACTGCAGCTAGCCTAAGGCCACAGTACCATTTGGGGCAAGCAGCTGACCAGCTAGAGATATAACAGTATGTTCTGGGGAATGAGACTGCCACAGTGGGCCTAGGTGATTTGGAAGGCTGTGCACCTTCTTCATAAGGTACCAGCACAGGCCTACATCAGTAGCTAAGATGAAAGAACAATCACGAAGCATCCCAGTGCTGGCAAGGACAGTGCCAAGTGCTGGCAGGAATATGCTCTCCAATCCTGCTACTGGGAATGCAGAATGGCACAGCCACTCTGGAAAACAGTGTGGCAGCTTCTTACTGTGTTACACTGCCTTAGGACCTGGCAGTCTCACTTCTAGGTGTTTACCCAAGGTAAGTGAAAATTCATGCTCACACAAAACCTGCATGTGACTGTTAATAGAGTTTTATTCAGTAATTGCCAACACTCAAAATCAGATATCCTTCAACTGGTGAATGAATAAACAAATTGTGGTAACATCTCTACAGCAGAATACCACTCAAAAGTCAAAAGGAACAAACTATTAATTCCCACAACATGGATGAATCTTAAATTCGTTTTGTTTAGTGAAAGAAACCAAACCTAAAAGGCCTCCATACTGTATGATTCTATTTAAAGGATGCTCTAGAAAAAGCACAACCATAAGGAAGAAGAACAAATCAGTGGTTGCCAGGGGTTAAGAGTTGGGGAAAAGGAGTTGATTACAAAGAGAGCGAGAGGCAGTTTGGGGAGTGATGGGACTGTGTTAGATTTGACTGTGCACCTGTCAAAACCCATGGAACTGTGCACCACAAAATTTCACTAAAATCAACAAAGATGTTTGTGTGTGTGTTACTGGGGGGAGTGCCCAAGTGATACAAACTGTGACAGATGAATCAAATGGTATTACAAACTTATCCCATAATCCAGGGGTCCCCAACCCCTAGGCCACGGATCGGTACCTGTCCGTAGCCTGTTAGGACCTGGGCCACAGAGCAGGAGGTGAGCAGAGGGCAGGCAAGCATTACTGCCTGAGCTCTGCCTCCTGTCAGGTCAGCAGCAGCATTAGATTCTCATAGGAGCATGAACCCTATTGTGAACTGTGCATGTGAATGATCTAGGTTGCTCACTCACTCCTTTTGAGACTCTAACTATGATGTTAGTGTGATGATCTGAGGTGGCACAGTTTCATCCTGAAACCATCCCCCCTCCTCGCCCCAGTCTGTGGAAAAACTGTCTTCTAAGAAATTGGTCCTTGGTGCCAAAACGGTTAGGGAATGCTGCCATAACCATAGTGAAATGGATGTGGAATTAGCTGACCTATCAGTAACTTTGGAAAACAGTGTTTTGACAGGATGCTGTAAGGCTAAAGATAAAACCTCTGGTTAGTGCACTTGTTTCTCATAGGGGCATGGGTTAGCAATCTCAAAACTGTACGTATTCTAGGAAGAAGTTACAAATAAGGAAGGATGGTGCTAGAGTTATCCTGTGGTTCTGGATCAGGGTTGGAGGTGTCAGCATGAACTAGGGCTGTTGGTTTTTTCAGAGAGAGAGAAATGTGGGTCTATGCATGTGTGAGTTAGTGTAACACATCTGTTTTCTAAGTCTGTCGACAGAGGGCCTTAGAGCAGTGACACCTGCATCAGTGACCAGAGCCAGCCTGAGATGGTGGATCCTAAGGGCTCCTCAGGGAAGGGGTTGGTTCCAGGGCTGGGGTAGGGCAAATGAAAGGTGAGTGATGGCAGCCTGTCAGATATCAGAAGGGTAGATGTCCGTCAAAAAGTGCTGCATTGGCCAAAGCTGGAGCAGTTCGAGCCACAGGATAGACAACAGTAGTAATGGATTACAACCTAAAAAAGAAAAGAAATAGCCATCCATTTAGGCTGATATCAATACATAAATGAATGCATAAGTGAGGGATAAGGAACAGTTCTTCCTTGTAAAATTCCAGTTAATAAATGTAGAAGGAATAAGGGAAATAGAAAATCACCATGATAATTGTTATAAGCACAGTCCCTTGACAGATGCAGCAAGGTGAAATCTAACAGGTGAAAGAATTAGGAGAAATAGAATTATCTGCCAAGTCTCCCCCCAAATAGCTATTCATTACAAAGGGAACAATACTTTACAGTGGAGAAACCTGGCAGACACAGCCCCAACCAAGAACTCAAAGGTGGCATCATATTGGCAGCAGGTACCTGTGATGTGGTGCTGTGTGAGTGGCACATCATCTGTGGTGGTTTTCCCTAAGCTGAATCAGGAGAAAACAGCAGACAAACCCAATTTGAAGGACATTCTACAAAATAATTGACCAGTACTCTTCAAGGTGATGAGAGGAGACTACAAACTCTTCTGGCATGGGGGGCCATGGAAGTGTGTCAGCTAAGTACAGTGTGGATCCTGGACTGGGCCCAGCAGCAGACAGGCTCTGGTGGGTGGCCTGGCAAAACAGCAAAGCCTGTGGTTGAGCTGGGAGTACCATGCCAGAGTTCCTCTTCTGGTGTTGATCCTTGTTCTATGGCTGCATGAAGGTGGGTGGAAACTTGGGGACACCGTGTGTCCTGCCTCTGAAACTCTTGTGCAAGTCTAAAATCATCTTTAAAAGTCTTCTTAAGTCATCATTAAGAAAATTAATAGGCAAGCCAGAGACATCACGTAGTCTGACTGTGCTGTCAGTCATGTCTGGGGCCTGCGTCAGCACAGGACTCATGATGGTGGCTTACCTCTTAGCTCCCAAGGAGAGGCAGAGTGGTGAGCCTCCCTGGTGATTGACTTAATAGCTATATGGAGCTTTCTATGGTGTCTTGATTGGGTATGTGTTACAGGAGGTACACAGGTCAGGACTCCCTGAACTGTACTTAAAAGTCTATTCTGCTGTATATGAATTATGCCTCAGGAGAGAGAAGAGAACTTATGCTCCATTTGGAATTTATCTTGGAGCATGACGTGAGGAACAAATCTGTTTGTGTCTTTGTGCAGTAGCTGTCCAGTTACTGCAGCAGCACTACTAACTGAAAAGCCCCTTTCCTGCTGTGTTGAGATATCTCTTTTTCCCATACTAAATTTCCATGGGCAATTGGGGCTACAGGGTTTTCTCTCTGTCTTCATGGACTTCCCTCATCACACTGATGTAAATAGAGAGGCTTAATACTGTGTTTTCATGTCAGCTGGGGCTAGAGTCTTCACCATTGTGGTTCTTACTCAGAGTTGTCTGGTTATTTGTGCTTACTGGTTCTTCTTCTCCTTTTATTTTAGATACAGAAGGTCCATGTACAGATTTGTTACATGAAAATATTGCATGAGGCTGGGGTTTGGAGTACAGATCCTGTCACCTAGTTAGTATAGTACCCAATAGGTAGTTGTTTTTAACCCACCCCCACTCCCTCTACCTTCTAGTAGTCCCCAGTGTCTGTTGTTCCCATATTTGTGTCCATGTGTGCTCAATGTTTAGCTCCCATTTATAAGTGAGAACATGTGGTATTTGGTTTTCTGTTCCTGCATTAATTTGCTTAGAATTAAGTCAAGCTCCATCCATGTTGCTGCAAAGGGTGTGATTTTATTCCTTTTTTATGGCTGTGTAGTATTTCATGATGTATAGGTGCCACATTTTCTTTATCCAGTCTACCATTGATGGGCACCTGGGTTGATTCTGTGTCTTTACTATTGTTAATAGCGCAGCAATGAACATGTGAGTGCCTGTGTCTTTTTGGTAGAATGATTTATTTTCTTTTGGATGTATACCCAGTAATGGGGTTGCTGGATAGAATGGTAGTTCTATTTCAAGTTCTTTGAGAAATCTGTAGACCACTTCCCACAATGGCTGGACTGATTTACATTCCTGTCAACAGTGTATAAGCATTCTGTTTTCTCCTCAGCCTTGCCAGCATCTGTTGTCTTTGACTTTTTAGTAATGGCCATTCTGACTAGTGTCAGATGGTGTCTCATTGTGGTTTTGATGCATTTCTCTAATGCTGTGTGGTACTGAGCCTTTTTCATGTTTGTTGGCCACTTATATATCTTCTTTGAGAAGTGCCTGTTCATGTCCTTTGCCCATTTTTTTTTTTTTTGAGACGGAGTCTCACTCTGACGCCCAGGCTGGAGTGCAGTGGCGCAATTTCCGCTCACTCCTTTGCCCATTTGTTAATGGGGTCGTTTGTTTTTTTGCATAAGTTCCCTGTAGATTCTGGATATTAGGCCTTTGTCAGATGCATAGTTTGCAAATAGTTTCTCTCATTCCGTAGGTTGTCTGTATTCTCTGTCAATAGTTTCTCTTGCTGTGCAGAAGCTCTTTCATTTAGTTAAGTTCTACTTGCCAATTTTTGTTTTTGTTGCAATTGTTTTTGGGAACTTAGCCAAAAATTCTTTGCCAAGGCCAACGTCAAGAAGAGTATTTCCTAGGTTATCTTCCAGGATCTTACAGTTTGAGGTCTTACATTGAAATCTTTAATATATTTTGAGTTAATTTTTGTATATGGTGAAAGGTAGGGGTCTGGCTTCAGTCTTCTGTATGTGGCTAGCTAGTTATTCCAACACCATATATTGAATAGGATGGTCTTTTTCCACTGCTGCTTTTGCTGGCCTTGTCAAAGATTGGATGGTTGTAGGTGTGTGGCTTTATTTCTGAGTTTTCTGTTCTGTTCATTGGTCTGTGAGTCTGTTTTTGTACCAGTACAGAAGCTGTTTTGGTTACTGGGGCTGTATAGTATAGTTTGAAGTTGAGTAGTGTGATGCCTCTGGCTTTGTTCTTTTTGCTTAGGATTGCTTTGGCTATTTGGGCTCTCTTTTCATTCCATATGAATTTTAGGATAGTTTCTTCTTGTTCTTAAATGCATTTTATAATTAACTTGTTTAGCTCTAAGAAAAAAACTTGATTTTGTATTGGAATAGCATTAAATTTAATATTTTTTAAAAATGTTTCATCTACTTCTAACTTACTGCAAAGAGTTTTATAAAGTTGCCTGTAATGATTTTTTAATGTTTTTCTTCATTTTTATAAAGGAAACATCCTTGTAACCACACCCAGGTCAAGGAATAGAACTTTATCAATCATCCCAGAAGCGCCCACCACATGTCCCATTTCTATTATAACCTACTTCCTCTCCTCAAAAATAACCACTTCCCAAACTCTTAATGGTAATCATTTCCCTAATCTTTATAGTTTTATCACCAAGTGTATATCCCTAGACACTATAGTTTAGTGTTGTTTTATTCTTAAAATTTGATATGTTTTTAAAGTCTCTTTTAATCTACACATTTTTCTCTCTATCCCTTTCTTTTCCTTATCTTTTACAATGTTTAAGTTTTCTTCTGTTAGCACTTGTAACTTTCTTATTTTTTTTTTTTCTAATCAGATACCTAGTGGTTTGTTTTGGTTGATTATTTTCTCTTGAGAGCCAGCTTTTGGATTTACTTCTTAGTTCTATTCTTTTTCTACTTAATAATATCTGCTTTTATTTGTAATAATTCACCCCTTTCTTTTGGTTCACTTATTCTTTTTCTGGCTTTTTCAGTTATATGTTTAAATAATTTATTTTTATTATTTAAATTTGTGTTGATATAGGTATTTAATGCTATAAAGTTTCCTGTGACAGTTACTTTTTTTCTGAGTCCTATAAATTCTCTATATATTTTCCCAGCCTTTTATAGCTGTATATCTTATATGCAGTATGGTGTTTGATTTTGCTTTGTGAGCCAATCCAAGACTGTTTTCCATTTAATAGGTGAGCCAAGTCCATTTTTTACATCACAGATAACAGGGAACCACCTTGTTCTATTTTATTTGCTTTTACCCTTTTGGTATTTAAGAGGGCTTTCTTCCTCCCTTTTTTTTCCCACTTTTATCCTAATGCCTTTATAGCAAACACTTAGTTTCTTTGGTTGGCTCCCCATAGTACCTGATACTGCAGTTAGCTGATGGACACCCCAGTCCCAGTTGGCTCCTGCACATCTTCTGCCCGCCCCTACCACTTCTCTGGTGGTTGTTCTTTGTCTGCATTGTCCAAGCTGGTAACCATGGCATGCTGCACTTTTATCACCGTCATGTGCCAGCAGCTCCACAGATAAATACAGACCACCTGCAGCTCACCTTTGCATCTGCCTCTAGTCATTTTGGTTTCTGGAGCTTATTCTTTAGTGGGTCATCCCTCAGCTCCTGGTCACTGTACTTCCTGTGTTTGTGTGTACTCATAAAAAATATGTGTGACTTTTACCCTTGATAGTCACTATTTAGATGTTAAATCTTTGGCTTATATTTTTTCCCTTAAATATCTTAAATATGTTACTGAACCTATTCTATTCTGGACCTGTAATCCCTACTACAAAGCTACTCACAAGTCCAGTTTTCATCATTTCTGGACATGCATTCTTAAGGGGGAGGAATTTATAGAACTGGAAGCCATGTTAATATCCTAGTCATGAGGTGGCTGAGATTTAGTCTGTCCAGGTAAGATGGTGCAGGTAGGGAGTGTGGTGGTCCAAGTGGCACACGCAGGAAGTCACAGAATGTGGGAGGCATTGTTTTGTGTACCCTGTGCACAGAGTGTCTGATGCCCTTTGATAGGTTTGCGGCCTCATCTGGTGGACTTTCTGGCACAGCCCTTCCTCGAGGTTGCTGCATCTGAAGCTCTTTAAGACGGCGTTTCCCTTCTGCCAGATTGCACTCTGTGCACAGTGCGGTTGCTTCTCCCTGCGGAATGAGATGGGCCCACATAGGCAGTGGCTCCACCTGGCCTTGGTGCTCTTGCCGCCCTCTGCTCTGCTGCTCCCTTCGTGTAAGAAGGGTGTGTTAAGAGTCCGTAAGTGTGTCGTGTTAGATGTTTAGGAAGGAAATGTTAATTCTGAAAATAGGTTTCACATCTTTTTTTTAACTTATATAAAATTGACTGGACTTTCTCTTCTGTGTGTTGTGTTAGATATTTAGGAAGGAAATGTTAATTCTGAAAATAGGTTTCACATCTTTTTTTTAACTTATATAAAATTGACTGGACTTTCTCTTCTGGATTATCTTCTTATAATTAGAGACTAATAACACACTGATACGAAGTAGCTTTATATCAGGAAAATGGATAAATGTAAACATTTGCCTACCAGGAGAAAATAATACGACCTGATTGGAAAATGTACAGATAAAAAGCTAAGTTTAGTAGGTAGCCATTGATGAACACAGTCTAACTTAAGACAACAATTGGGGATTGTTAGAGCAGAGATTGTAGCTCCCTTCTGGGGAGGAGCTGACCAAAATGTCCTCCAGCTCCTGCTTGACAGAAGAGGTGCAGCCAAATTGATCCAAAGGAAATGTCAGAGGAGGCCAGGGTGGGAATTATCAGCAACTGTGTTTGAGGATTTGTTCCACTTTGTTTTGGTTTTGGTGAAATTATCACAGTCTGCATGTTATATGACCTTGGCACTTAGAGTCATGGCAACTTGTTGCATTTATGCGAGATTTTTTCTCCCTAAAGTCTCTTCTGTTTGATAGCATATATGTACCTTTCATAATCAATATCAAACTGAAGTAGCTTGAAAAGATAGATAATTTTATTCATTTTCTGGGATTCCATAACCACAAACTCGGTGGCTTAAAACCACAGAAATGTATGTCCTCACAATTCTGGAGGCCAGAAATCCAAAATCAAGGGCTCGGCAGGGTTGCTTCCTACTGGCAACTCAGGGAAGTTGAGTTTATGAGTATGTATTATTTTTTATTATGTGTAGTGTAGTACTTTAATAATTATTAAAAATTAAATCATTCACAAATGTTGGTCATTTTTCTTACTGGTAACAAAAGTTTTGTGACATATCTTACAGCAATATAGTTAAGAACTGATGCCCTTGATTAGCAATTTTAAAAACCGGAGGCTTATCCTAGCCTGTCTTATTTTCCTAGACTTGTGTGGAAATGATTTGAAGATGATGGCCCATAACAGCACATTTCTGTAAAGCCTGTGCTTAGAACCCTAGAGTGGTCTGGGAGATGAAGATTAAGACCTTGTTATCCATCTCTTAAGGAAAATACCATCAGAGGAAAATGCAAATCTTATTATAGGTCATCACTAGAATGAGGATTGTAATTTATAGAAATTGGGGTTTAATTATGAGAAATAGTTCCGTTCTTGGCTCTCGTTTACTTCTATTTGGAGATGTTTTGTTGATTCTTCTCTATTCTCTTCTCTTCCTTTTCTTGAATGGAAAGGAACTTGGAAAACTCATGCCCTGTCCTTGGGCTTGTCAGAGGAAACTTGGAATGTCATTGCCTTTTGGGCACATTTGCAAGCAAGGGGGTGACATATGCTGTGGTGCAGCCTGGGTGTGGGGAGTTAAGGGCTGTTAGCTCCATCATTCAGACATGTTTTAAGTTTATGGAAACTCTGTGTTTTATACAAGTGCATTTGTGCCCTGTGTTTTCCGCTTGTGTTGTATAATGTTCTGTTCTTTGTTTTTAACACTTCCCGCCCCCACCCCATCCCTCCGACATGCACCTCAGACAGCATGAACAAGACAAGCTGCTACTTCCTCTCCTCTCTTGCACCCTGTTTATCTTTAATTGCAGCAAAATACACATAACATAAAATTGCCATCCTAACCATTTTTAAATGTACAGTTCAGTGGTGTTAAGTACATTCACATTATTGTGCAACCATTACCACCATCCATCTCTAGAACTTTTACATCTTCCCACACTGAAACTCTGTCCCCATTAAACGCTAACTTTTCATTCTCCAGCACCCCCAGACCTGGTAACTGGCTTTCTATTTTCTGTCTGTATGATTTGACTTTTCTGAGTACCTCATATAAGTCAAATCAGACAGTATGTGTCCTTTTGTGACTGTCTTATCTCAGCGTAACGTCCTCAAGTTTCAGCCCTATTGTAGCATGTGTCAGCATTTCCTTTTTCAGACTGAATAATGTTCCATATTGTGTATAGTGTACACCACATTTTGCTTATCTATTCATCCACTGATGGACATGTGGGTTGCTTCCATGTTTATCTGTTGCAAGTAATACTGCTATGAACGTGGGTATACAAGTATCTTTCATTCTCTGCTTTCAGTTCTTTTGAATATATACCCAGAAGTGGAATTGCTGGATCATATGGTAATTCTGTGTTTAATTTTTTGAAGAACCTCCATACTGTTTCCTATAGTAGCTATATCATCCTCCATTTCCACCAACATTGCATGAAGGATCCAGTTTCCCCACATCCATGTCAACACTTGTTAAACTTTTTTTTTTTAATTTGCCAGTAGCCTCATAATGAGCGTGAGGTAGTATCTCATTGTAGTGTTAATTTGCATTTACCTAACAATTCGTGATGTGGAGCATCTTTTCATGCGCTTATTGGCTGCTGTGTCTCTTCTTTGGAGAAGTGTCTGTTGAAGTTGTTTGACATTTTTTAATCAAGTTGTTGGGCAGGTTCCCTTGTTTTTAAGTCAGAGTAGGTGATGTTTGTCTTGAAGGTTATAAAAAGAGAACATGTTTGCTATGACATGTAGTTGATTGCTATGAAATGTAGTTGACACATGCAGAATAGAAAGATTTATAAATTAAATACTCCTTTATTAACATTTTAATGTGTCAAATTTAAATTTCAGAAGCATTCATCTTTCTTCTCTACTTGTACATTTTTATTTACCTGACAGTGTAAAACCCACAACCAAAAAATAATGGCTTTTTCCCCATTTAAAATACTTTGTAAAAATAGTAGCCTAGTTGTCATTTGTGAGCCCAGGCTTGGTCCTCAAGTCTGACATAGACTCCCCAAGGCCCTAACGCTGAAGTTCTCTGAGCCCTACCACTGCCCAGGCAGGCCCAGGAAGTGTCCCAGCAGTGCCCAAGAAGGTCACCATCACCTGTGGAATCCACAGTGTGGGTAGCCCCCAGGGAGCCACAGCCATGTAGACCCAGATTCACAGGAGGATGCGGTTACTGCAAGCATCTGAACCTGGCCCCACCACCTATGGGCAGAGTTGGTTCCAGCTCAGTGTGTCCATGGGATGTCTTTAGGTTCACCTTGCTTTTCTGTCCCACGCTCATATGTTGGAGCTAAGCTGCATGGAGTGTCGTTCTCCCTGTACATATGAGATTAGTCAGCAATCCTGTCTCCTTCCATATTCTGTCTTTATTTCTGCGACACTATTTCTGGAGAACATCGTATTTGTGCTTTTCCTTTGATATGTTTGTAATTTTCGTTAGAAAAGCCCTTTTAGATTCTAAAGCTTCTACATTCAGTATTTCAATCAATGATAACAAACTGGTGTAAGACTAAATATAAAATACAAACATCAACACATTTCCATAAATTGCTGTTATAATGTCTGCCACAAAAAGTTCAGTTGTTTGTATGTTTTTCAAATGTGCTTTGCTTGTCTTGATGATTTACAACTGTTGGCACTGCTGTTTAAGTCTGTTCTGACAGTGAGAAAGTGACTCATTTGGCAAAGTCAGCTGTTTTTTACTAAAAGTGAATAGTGGTGAGTGGAAAGGGGCTTGTGTACAATTTTCTTGTCAAAGAACGATGACCGGCAAATAAGCAATTTTAGTTCCTTGGATTTGAGCACCACTCTCGCATGCCTCCACCAACCAGCTTGTCTCCACAGAGCTTCCTTCCTCACTTTACACTGAAAATCTGTTATCAGTGTGTGGAAAATAAAAATTTTACACATCTTTAGTTTTGAGGATGTGGATTACTATTTACAGGTGTTTTTTTTTTTCTGTAAGGAAGACATTTTTTTAAAAAGTAAAAGGTGTTCCCATTGTTTAGTTATTGCCTTATGATTTGATTTTCTTGTTTCACAAAGAACAGCTTTTAATTAAACGTATTTAAATAGTAAAAATATACATGTCACTTCACCTGGTTCCAGTTAAATGTGTTAACAGTGTATGTGGTTGGTGCTTAATAAAAACATGTTCAGTGCAGTAATAATTAACTTCAGTTAAACCCTTAAAACATATAGGGAGTAAACAGAAATGTTGAGTGGTTACTCAGCATGGGGTAAGGGATACATCAAGTCATTGGTCAGTATTGGGTATCATCATGTTCTTACCATCTTTTTTCTGGAGTTTTAATAGTTGTTTTTTAAAAAATCTCTGTTTTAATAAGCCATTTTGATGTTTGAAACTACCTTGGATAAGCATATCAAGACCCTTCAGAGATTCTAAAACATGTTCAGCACTTTCTGGTACAATATTCTCAAAGAACCAGGATACATCTTA
The DNA here is from genome assembly GCF_000001405.40 of Homo sapiens. Classification (NCBI taxonomy): domain Eukaryota; kingdom Metazoa; phylum Chordata; class Mammalia; order Primates; family Hominidae; genus Homo; species Homo sapiens. Next base: position 158,555 of record NT_187523.1, read on the forward strand.
TTTCTCAAAATGAAACAAAAATGTATTAGACATTACCCCTGTGATTTCAAGCCCACAGTCTGTCACTTTGAAGTATTTGTATCCTTTTACAAAAGAAAAGCCAAATGAAGATCTCCCTGAAAAAATATTTTAATAGAATATGTCTTTATTTCAGTATCTTAAATAGCGAAGATGGAGAAATACTCAATAATGAAGAGCATGAATATGCATCCAAAAAAAGAAAAAGGACCATTTTAGAAATGACACAAATACTCAAAGTAAGATCATTCTCATTAATTTTATTTTACTTGTTGATTATGTTGAAATACTAAATTACTCTGACAGTGCTATCTTATGAAATAAAAGGTGATACAAATATGTAAATAACAGCCCAGTATCCAGCATTGCCTACATATTTAGTGATCAAACTTTTTGCAGCCCAACGTTTCAGTGGGTAAGATGTGCAAAAACAAAATAAGAGATAGCAAAACCCACAAAACAGCCCATGAATCTGAATGCTTGAATTATGGTCATGAATTCAGCTCAATCTTGAGCAGTGAGGCCAAACTGAGAGGTGTCCTGACTTGAGTTTCGAAGTCATTGAAGATTCACAGCAGGAGACAGACATTCAGAGCTGGAGTTTAGGATGTTAGATGGCAGCAGGGGAAGGCTGGAGGTGGGACCTATCTGTGAGAGGGCATAGAGTTCTATCATGCAGCATATCTGTGAGTTACCAAGACACCTGTTAATGTATAGTAGGCTCCCTTACCTCGGGATAGACCTCCAGTGGATGCCTGAAACTGTGGATACTACCAAACCTTATGGATACTATGTTTTTTTTTCTGTATATACACACTTATAATAAAGTTTAATTTATAAATTAGGTGCAGTAAGAGATTAACGAGAATAATAATAAAATGAAACAGTTATAGCAAGATGGCCACCATCACTGCTCTTGCACTTTGGGGCTATTATGAAGTACAGTAAGGGTTCTTTAAACACAAGCACTGTGATATCTCAACAGGTGATCCGATAACCAAGACGGCTACTGAGTGACCAAGGGGCGGGTAGTGTAGGACTCGCTTGACAAAGGGAGGATTTGCATCCCAGGCAGGACAGAGCCGGACGGTGTGAGATTTCATGACACCACCCAGAATGGCACACAATTTAAAGCTTATGAATGGTTTATTTCTGGAATTTTCCACTTAATGTTTTCAAACCAAAGCTGACTGTGGGTAATTGAAACTGTAGAAGATGAAACTGTGAATACGGGGGGACTACTTTATGAAGAAGATAGGGTCACATGGAGAATACAGTTAGTGTGATTCTTGAAACTTTTAAGATTTATCTGAAAAATTTGTTTCTATGGAGTACTATACACAGCAACAGAAGAATAGAACTTTTTATTAGGGTACATAGGAATGTAGTAATGTAATTGCATTTTATAATCATTTATGTCTTCATATGGCTTCAGTCATTAATAATACTAATTTTCTTCTAAGTTACTAGGACTTGGTACTGTCTGAAATCATTGTTCATATCTTAAACTGATTTAAGAAACAAAGCAATTCTGTTTGCATTCAACCAAGTAAAAGCATTTCTTGTCAATATAGTAAGTCAGATAATTTTGTTAACATGTCCAATTATTTAAATTCCTTTAAAATCTTCATTTTGAAATGATTTGCCAGATTTTAAAAACAAAGGTAATTTTTATTCTAGGTTTTTATCATGAAAAATGGATCTATGTCCATAAAGAAAGCACAAAAGAAGTAAGTATTCTATTATAAATAAGAGAGTATCTTGGATTGTTTCTGTTGAATATGGAGTCACATTAAATAAATGTATTAATAAAGTTGCATAAAACACATTTCTTTTGCAATGTCAGATCTATGGTTCACATTCTGACAGATAATAGCATATGAGGAGCTTTTGAGGCAGTGATTCGCCACTGTGTGTGCTTGCATGTGCATGTGGTATGTGGCTGTGTATTTGTGCACACATTGGTGTGTGTTGTGTGTATGGTGTATGTGTGTTGTATGTATGGTGTGTATGTATGGTTGTGCATGTATTTGTGCACACATTGGTCTGTGGGATGTATGGTGTGTGGTGGCATGTGGTATATGTGTGCAGTGTGTGGTTCCTGCCTACCTGTACATATCTGAGTCAACAGCAGGGCTATTTAAACCAAGCATGGACTCCTGCGGTCATACGCATTTTCTCTGTGTTAGCATGAACCCCTGATGCTGATGGGAATGTGTCCTCCCTGTGGCATGTTTTGGAGGGCAGGGCATCTGTGAGCCCTCTAATTCCACATAAAGAGTGGCTAACATGAAATTAGTAATTGGGTTGGGTTTGTGCAGAGCCATGTGAACTCTTTCCCTGCCTTTCTTTTGCCAAGTTGGGCTAAAGCTTTTTCATGAGCCATAAAACAAACCAGAGAGCTTCAAGCTGTTTCCTGTTTCTTTACTAGGATCCGGGAAGTTGAGTTCCTTTTATAGTCCTAGAAACTCTGCATTTGCTTTATTTTGCAACAATTGGGGAAAATAATTTAGGGAATTACTGTCTATCGTATGTTATTTCAGGGTAAGTTAAATATTCCAGAAATGTTTGTAGATGCTCTGAAACTAGTCCAGCTTCCAAGAAACTGAAGGATTAGATTCTGAGAAAGAAAACTTAATCTGTTTGTTTATGGTTAGTGGGTATAGAATGAATCAGATCCTTAATATACACTCGAATACACCATTAGACGATTATTTGACAGAATCTAACCTAGTTTGTAAAAAACAAAATTTAGTGCTCATGAAAGACCATTAAATATTTCATCTGCTCTGTTGCCATACTGATTACAGAACAGAGGATCCCATCCAAGCTAGCATATACAGGAAAGGAGGATCTTATTGTGAGGCTGTGGGGATGTTCCCTGGAATCCTAGGAACCAGGACCTAACAAGGCTGAGAGGGACCAGAACTAGGACTGGGTGCTGGTGTCCCTGCACCACGTCATGTCTCCACACCCTCACCTGGTATAGAGCAAGTGCCTGCTGCT